>NC_000004.12:93163805-93466835 GCF_000001405.40 Homo sapiens
AATATTAAGGCTACCTGCAAATGCCCCTGTAACATAACTAGTACTGGACAGAATGTAAGAGTTATGAATTTGGGATGACAAACATGGAGACTCAGAATACATTATATGGATTTTTAGATTAATACAGAAGTTATAGCATGGAATCAGGATCCCTCCTTAGGTAATTGCCCCACTCCTATCCCTCTTCACATTGTCTTATAATTACCTATTAAGTTAGTTCTCTTTATCCATGGACTGTAAGTTCATCACACGTGAACTTGGTTTTCTTTACTGTGCTTGGTATATAAATAGGGCCTTAATGTATTCTGGCTAGATGAGAGATGTGTGACAGGCGAAAAACCAAGCCCGGGGGGGGAAAAAAAAGGTAATTTAGAAAAGAAAATAAACAGAGGGAAATACCGAACAATACAGATGGCTCAGCAGAAATTGTAGAAAGCGACATAAATAGATTTTAAGAGCATGACTTTGGGACTAAGATAACCCTGGTTTGATTTTCTTCTCCATGAGAATGAAGAGCAGATGTAACGGGCTAAAGTGAGTAAGGATAGCAGCACTGAGTAGTGGCATCAGAAAAGCATCTAAGTTTTATTACAAGACAAATTAAACTCAGAATATAACAAGGCTCATTCCTGGGAATAATTTTTTAAAACACAGCTGAGATAGTCATAAAACATGCAGTTATTTTAAATTTAGAAACAAAACCAGGACCTTTAAAAATTTATGCTTCTCTGATTTTTGTCCTTCCAAAATTAGTCTAGAAATAAGTTTATTGAGAAGTCAGCTGTTTTTAGGCTCTATGTTGACTTTTAATAGTATCAAACGAATGGTAGGGGAAAAAAATGAAAATACCGGTTATCCTTGTTTGAGGAATCTAGCTTTGGGAGAAAAGTGACAAAATATGCTTAATTTTTTTCCTTTCATTTTTCAGATGTCGTTTTAGAAAAACACTTAGGGAGGAAAGAATGTGAGTGATTTTTGTTTTCATGCCAGAGCACAGACACTTACGTGACAATTGGAGTAAATAAAGTAAGCTTTGACTACTGTTCTCTAATTCATGCGTACCTCTGATATTGACGTGTTAAGGAAAATAACGTATCTGCAGCCCCTTTCCAGAGAGGCACTATGACGTAAGAGTTCAGAGTATGAGCACTGTTATTTCACACACCTGTGTTCATATCCTTGCTTAGCAGGAAGACCCTGGAGAAGTTTTTCAGTTTCTCTGAAGGCTGCATTCTCATCTGGAAGATGGAGATAATAACTTCCTCATAGGATTGTTGGGATAATTAAATGAGGTAATTCCTGCAAAGGGTTTAACACAGTGCCTAATACTAGCAATTGCAAAGAAATATAAATTATTTTGTTATTATTATGTAAGCAGATATCACATCAACTGTTAGTCCTCAGACTTGGCAACTTACAACTGGCGGAAGGAGAGGAAAGGAAAAAGAGAGAGCAATGTCATAGTAGGTTGTTGTTCTTTTCTATAAATTCATACTGCAAAGAGAAGAAAAGACCAGGAGCCTGAGCAGAAGCCCCTAAATATAGCCAAAGTCAAGGTTATTAATAGAGTGTGGGATTGCTAAAGATTAGAATAAATGAATCTAAGACAGAGGGGACACAGGAAAGAGGAGATATGAGAATCCTCTGTCATTTACCTCCCTGACTTTCCTTTCAGGTGTCTTACAGTAGTGAAACTGGAGAGAGTAAATGAAAGGAGGGAACTGTTGACAGCAGAGAATCAGAATAGGAAAACTTGGTGTGCCTGTTATGACTCTTCCAAAAGAGCTTCCCTAAGAGCAGAGTCCCAAAGGAGAAGGCATGAAGCATGATGTTTTAGTTTTGCGCTAACTCCTCTTTCTCTCAGAGTATCTGCTTTTTCATATCAGAGCTGAGTCTTATCAACAATAGTAGCAACTTAACATAAATGAACATTCCATAATTAAAAGGACTCCCTTTAATTAAAAATACTGTGCAGACAGGAGGTGCTTCTTAAAGCTTGGAAGATTGATGGACGGCGCAAAACCACCTATTAGAACCACAAATAGGGAGCAGAAATTTAAACACTGAAAATTAGAGGAATGTCATTTGTATTTATTAATACTCAACCAATATTGCATTGAATATCTATATTGTTACAATACTAGGAGTGGAGAATACTAGCAAATTAAAGGTGTTTTATCTTAAAGCACTAAATCATATGTATAGGCACTTATAAGGCATTACGTTATAAAATACTAGTTGTATCTTTTAGGTAAAAGGAGCAAATGAAAGTTGAGTGGGATTCACATAGCCTGCAGTCTTCATGATTTCCACATGGAAAGAGAGAATTGGAGCTAGCATTTAAACACTAACATACGTGAGTAAAGATAAAGTGAATGAAAAATTGTAGTGGACTGTAATTTGTTAGCTAAAAATTTTAGTATCTATCTATTAAAGTGTTTCTTATGCTGTTGACACTTTAAAGCTAAAAATTTACATTTTCTCAAACCCCAACATCTAAAGTGGGTAGAAGGAGTTATAGCCACTGGTCTGCTCTCTCTACACTCCCTTCATTTGGAGAACATCACCTGTGGGAAAGAAAAGAAGTCAGGTGACCTGGGTCTATTCTCCTTGTCAGCTGGACATCCAGGAAAATGGACTAAAAATATTTGGAGAAAGAGACCTTATCTCTGCAATGCTGTCAGCATGATGTGCTGGCAAAGAATAATGAAACTTAGTAAACATAACCCTGTATCGGTAAGGCATGGCCATCTGTAAGGAATGCCACACATAAACTATAGAACTATCTGGAGTATAAAATGAAGATGTTTCAGAATTTAACAATCACTGCTTTATGAGGAATCCCAGAAGCCTCATGTAGGGATAATGCAGGGATATAATCTCTTCTGGCCAGAGCTGCTTGTCAGACATGAGAAGGAAGAACCTGGGGAACCACCCTTAATGTCTGTTCTCTCTGTGCTTGGTCTGAGGCTTTTCTTGTCTGTCTCCTTGAAATAAGTACTAGGTTACTACTGAGTAAGGTCTCTGATTCTCGTGAGTCTGCTTTGAGAATCTAAACCAGTGTGCTAGCTCATAGGTTGCTAGATATGATTTGGGCTCCACTAAGCAGATGCTCTGTAATGAGCCTTCAATTTGTAGTCCATTAAGTCAGGAGAGAGGCAGTGCATTGACAATTATTTTACTAATCCACTTACCACTACAGTTAATGGGAGCAAGTTGTGTGCATGGTGGCGGTGAGAGAGTAAAAATCTTGTATGTTTCATAAGAGAGGTAGTGAAAGTGACAGCAAGAAGAGTAAATAACATCAGAAAGGGAATGTAAAAATTGTTTGAATTCCAGCTTTGTTCTGAGACACAGCAAGCAATTGTTGTTTCTCATTATTTTAAAAGAAATTGTGTCTTTTTGAAGTTACTCTTGAATTGCTTCAATGACAAATTCATACTCTAGAGGCACCCCATTCCTTGTTTGATGGCTCCAGTTGTTGCACAGTTATATTGATACAGATCTGTCTCCAAAGAGATTCCAACCAGCAGCCTGCTCCTTGGTGCTAATTTTTATTTTGACTTCAACAACTATCAAATCCATCAAGGTATGCTAGTCACCTGGTTTTTGTTGTCTTAGTTATTTTAGTAGTTCTCTATATCGTTTTTAAAAGTCTATATTGCATCCTGAGGTCTCTTCCCTGAATGTGCTTAAATTTGGGTAGGCTCCTTTTTTGAAAATAGATATTAGGTTTCTCTGCAACACAACCACCACCACCAACAGAAAATGGCAAGAAAGGAAATAAAAGAGTAATGAAGGATGAGCCTATAGATTAAAATACACTAAAAAGAAAAACTTAACACATAGTAACACATGTACTTTATTTGGATACTGATTCAAATGAGCTGCAAAATTAATTTATATATGAGTTATTTGAAAATTTGAACATTAACTGAAAACTTGATGATATTAAGAAATCATTTTTTTTCTAGGTATGATTTTAGTATTTGGATTATGTTTTAAAATTTCTAATATTTTAGAGATGCATTCTGAAAAATTTTATAGATTTGTTTCAAAGTAACTTAGGGTGGTGGTGGTGAGTATATAAATATAAACATATATATGGTTGGGTGCAGTGGCTCACACCTGTATTCCCAGCACTTTGGGTGAACGAGGCAGGTGCATCACTTGAGGTCATGGATTCAAGACCAGCCTGACCAACATGGCAAAAGAAACCATCTCTACTAAAAATATAAAACTTAGCGAGGTGTAGTGGTGCACTCTTGTAATCCCACCCACTTGGGAGGCTAAGGCATAAGAATCATTTGAACCCATGAGGCAGAGTTTGCGGTGAGCCGTGATTGAGATCGCAGCACTGCACTCCAGCCTGAGCAACAGAGTGAGACTCTATCTCAAAAGAAAGAAAAGGGAAGGAAAGGAAAGGAAAGGAAAGAAAAGGAAAGGAAAGGGGAAGAAAGAAAGAGAAAGGAAAGGAAAGGGGAAGAAAGAAAGAGAAAGAAAGACTTTTGTTAATATTTCAAATTCACCATAATAAAGGCATCATTAAAAAGTTTTAGATGAAATCTCATTAGATAAGGACAGTTTTCTCTCACTAGCTATACGTCTTACTTCAAGAAAGCAGCTCAAAAATGTGTGTATATATATGTATATTTAGTTAGCCAGTCAAAAGAATGAACAAATAGATAAAAAATATATCACTACAAGTAGAATGTACTATTAATAAGAAATCATGGGATTCCATAAATTAATTTATTAGTTATATAAATAAATAATAGTCATCTCTTTTAAAATTTAAACATGGGCAATTGGAGTTGACTCTGTTTTGGCTATTTCCTTGCTCTTAGCAAAAATAAAAACAGAGTCTTTAGCTTCAACTTAAGATCTTACAGAAAAAGAGAAACAGAACCGTGACTAGAGATACTCATTTTTTAAGGAATCAAATTTTATATGAAAGCTATTACATATATAATTTCTAGGGTTACTTCTTAAATCAACCCAGTTTCTGGCATAAAAATACTTTCACTATAATCACCAGTACTGAAAATGTGGTCCATTTGTGCCCATGAAACTTGCTGCATTTGGCTCTGAGCAAAAGGACACTGGTAGGATAACAATTAAAATAAAAGTTAATATTTTATTTACCTTCTTAGTTCTAGGTCAGTTTTCAAACTATAGAAACAGAGCATTATTTAAATATTCCCTCAGATGACTAGGGGATCATTCAGTGGCCTCAAGTACTATTTTTTAAAAAACAGTGAATAAAAAGAACATGTATTCACTCCTTCCCTGAAAGTTATATTATTCTTCCAAGTGGCTTTTTTCAACACAATGAAATACACACACACACACACACACACACACACACACACACACACAAACTTAAAATAGGCTAAGTGTAAAAATTATAGAAAATATTTATTGCCTATTTTTGAGCACACAAACCAGAAATATGTGTCTTTATTGATGTACTTTCACACCCAGTTGAAATATAGCAAATTATCTTGAAAAACTTTGATTCTTTCTAAAATACATACAAAAATAGTTATATACAACTTAGTAATTTGACAAGTAGTCTCGAAAATATGATATTCACAGTCTTACCAAGATTTTAATGTCCAGTGATTTACTAACTTTGTTGTTTATATAACAAATTAGCCCTAATGTATTCAATATTTGATTGCTTGATATTTTCTCAGTAAGAAGCAGATATAGTCAATATACATAGATTGCCTAAAATAGGAGTCATTGCCAAGGGTCAAATATTATAAAGGGCAAGCCTCTTTAAAAGCATCCTTTATATCACAGAAATAGAGAAGGAGTTATTTTTCAGTGGTTGAATGTACAGAATAATTTACAAGATTGAAGTGTATAAAACATTTTATACACTAAAGCTCAATGTGCCCACTTGTGCTGAATAGCTTATTGTGGCTTGAGCTTCTCATACATTCTCAAACATGACTTAAGGGTGAATGGATTCAATTATCCTACATCTAGAGGCAAATTTCACCTAAATGTAATTGCAGGAATCAAGAAAACAATCCAAACTTCTACTGAGATATCTGTAAAAATTCTCACTGAAGGAATCAAGTGATTTTGAATGACACTTATAAATATGCAAAATTTCATCATATTCAAGTATGTTTCAAGCTGTACAATAACACAGGTTTAACTTGAAAAGGAAAACAATGAATGTTATTATTTTCATCATGCCTTGTATAGGCTATGTTTTTTGGCAATAATTAGATTTCAAGTAAAACAAACTTCACATCATCACATAACCATTTTATTTTAAGACAGAGGTTTCACTCCTGTCACCCAGACTGGAGTGCAGTGGGCGCGGTCTTGGCTCACTGCAATCACCACCTCCTGGGCTCAAGCAATTCTCCTACCTTAGCCACTCAAGTTGCTGGAATTACAGGCTTAAGCCAATGCACCCGGCTAATTTTTGTATTTTTATTAGAGATGGGGTTTCGCCACGTTGGCCAGGCTAGTCTTAAACTCCTGGGCTCAAGTGATCCACCCGCCTTGGACTCCCAAAGTGCTGGGATTACAGGCATGAACCACTGTGCTGGGCCCCCCCCTTTTTTAATTGTAATAAACAATGGAATCCAGTTGCAGCAATGTCAGTCATATCTCTGGTCATCTGATGTTTCTCTGGGCTTGGGTGCACATCACATCCGGATGTGTGTTTCATTCTTATTTCCATTGAGATATAGATAGGTTTCTCTACCAGACAGTTCCTGCTTCGCCATAATAGCAGTTTTATTTTGGTTTTGCATTTTGGGGGCATTAATTCTGACCCAAATTCTATACATCAAACTCTAATGTCAACCAAGATCTGTTTCTGTGTCATAAATCCAATTCCCAGAAAGAGGATCTGATTGGCGCAGCTTTGGGTAACTGTTTCCAGCATACACTTCTCCTTTGAATTACAGTCTTACATACCCGACTGCCTATTGCGCACATCCACTTAGATGTCAAATAGGCTTTAAAATGTAAAATGACCAAATTTCAATGACGATTTTCCTTAGAGTCATGTTTGATTCTTTTTTTTTTTTAACCTATATGCAATTCAAGAACTATTCCATTTAGCTTTACTTTTAAATATACTCAGAAAATAATGTCTGCTCGGTACTTCAGCACTACTGTCTAGGCCAAACCATCATGTACTCCTGCCTGGATTATTCATCTCTTTGCATCTGCCCATGCCACCTACGGTTTATACTCAGTACAAAAAGTAGAATCATCTTTTAAAAATTTAGATCATGTCACTTCTCTGGTCAGGTTTCCTATCTCACTTGTAGTAAAATAAAAAGGCTTTGCAATGATCTACATGGTTCTGTATTACCTACTTTCAACCCATTACCTTTCTGATCTTTTAACATTTTGTTCTTTATGTTACTCACTTGGCTCCAGCAATACAGACTTTTTGCTTTTTCTCACATGTGCCAGGTACATTCTCAACTGTGTGGTCTTTCCTCCTGACTTAAATGTTCTTCCCTGAGATGGCTGCATGGCTCACTCCCTCACTCTCTCCAACTCTTTGTTTAAACATTGTCTTCTCAATGAGGCTTTTTCTGACTATCTAAAATTGAAATTCCTCTCCCAATATTCCCTAAGCTTGCTCCACAGTTTAAATTTCTCTTAAGAAATTATCCTCATCTAACATTCTATATATTTTACTATATGTTTATTATATCCCTCTATTCCTTTGACATCTCACCAGAATGTAAGCTTCATGAACAAACAGATTTTTGTCAATTGTGTCCTAAACCAGGCTTCCAAATAAATGTTTGTTAAATAACTTGTCCACGTAGGACCCAATCAACCATTCCTGTTCAGTGGAGGGCCATAGGAAGAGGAGGTTTACGAAGAAAAGGATGTCATGGAAAGAGAAAATAATTACTCTCATATAGGCATATATTGTTATTTATTTCCAAAATAAAAGAAATAATGCTCAGTATCGCTCAATGATTTACTTAGCATTATATAACTAATTAGTGTTAGAAAGTAAATTGAAGTCCCGCACACTCAAGTTCATAGTTCTTTTAGTGATTTTATAGCCATAGCTTCATATGACCAGAGGTGTGTTAGTAAAGAGATTCAAAGTCATCACATTTCAATATAGCTCTAAAGCCAACTTGTTAATTGGAAAATTGCTAGATTATCATTATATCCCAGTGATTTTCCTATTAGTTTACTATTTGAGGTCATATGAATTATCTATTTAATAACAGAAATTTGGGGCAAATTGGGCCATGATATCCTTCCTGACCTCAGGTCAATATATTTCATCTTCACCTACAAGTTTAAAAACATATACCACAAGAATTGTTCAATTAAAATGCTTCTGAAGTCTACATTACCAGTGATGTGTTCTTAAGTTTTGTGGTAGTCAAAGGACCTGCTAATGTCTGATATTCTATTGTCATGGATACTGACAGGCTGAAGCTGTCAGGTTGGGAACATTTGCCATTATTTCTGATGAAAATAATGAGAATTGGCCAGGCGCGGTGGCTCACACCTATAATGCCAGCACTTTGGGAGGCCCAGGCAGGCAGATCACAAGGCCAGGAGTTCGGGACCAGCCTGGCCAACATAGTGAAACTCCGTGTCTACTAAAGTTACAAAAAATTAGCCAAGCATGGTGGCACGTGCCTTTAATCCCAGCTACTTGGAAGGCTGAGGCAGGAGAATCACTTGAACCTGGGAGGCACAGGTTGCAGTGAGCCGAGATCCAGCCATTGCACTCCAGCCTGGGCGACAGGGCGAGACTCCATCTCAAAAAAAAGAAAAAAAAAAGAAAATAATGACAGTTGCTATTGGAAAATATATCTAATCAAAAACATAATACAATGGACCCACACATTTGTGAATGGGTTGATTCCAAAACAACTATTTAAAAAGAGTTATAGCTATATTGCAGAAAGCATACTGCCACTTTAAAGAATCTAAGTTAAGATAAAGAGAAACTTTAATTGCACCAAGACCAAATGAGTCTCAGAAGTTTTGATTCAAATTACTAAAGTTTGGGGAAAATAAAGTTAACTGATAATGAGATTGAATATTTGAATTGCATCTTTAAAAATATCACATCTTAAACTTTTTTTTTTTTCAGTTCAATGATTCACTATTGCTCTGCCAAGTTTCTTTCTCTTAGGAAAACATCACTAATTAGAAATGAGGCATATTTCATGAAGAAAATATTATTTTTCTGTTCTTAACAACATGTTTCACTTTTTATTTCATTGGCTATATTGAAGAGTTAGAAGGAAATTGTATTGCCTTAAAAATCAAGACATTATTTTTATTTATATGTATAATTAGACTATTTAGATGAATTGATTTTCTTAATGTGCTGTGCTTAAGAAACTAGTTAGAAAATTAATCCAATAGATTTTTTTGACCAAATTCCAGTCAGATTCAAGAGAGGTTTCTCAATATTAAAGTGGAAAAAAACAGTCTTTTTTCCCATTTTTAAGCACCATTTTTAAGAACTGAGAATTTGTCATAGAGCATATTAGTGCTATAATAGACTAACAGCTATGAGTCTTTCATCTCTTAGGAGCTGAAATTTATTTCCTAGCTCATTATATCCTAGGACAGGAAGGAAGGAAGGAAAGAAGAAAGAGAGGGAGGGAGGAAGAGATAAAAAGAAATGGCAATCAAGAAAGGCAGAGCCCATGCTTACTAAAGATTTTTAAATTTGATAAGCTTGGAATTGATGATAAAATATAAAACTTCCATGTTAATATCCTATGTAAGAAAACACAACCAACTTATTATCATAACTTGGCTTACATAAAATTGTCCTTGTTAGTTCTATTGTTTGTTTGTTTTTTGAGACGTCTCATTCTGTTGCCCAGGCTGGAGTGCAGTGGTGTGATCATGGCTCACTGCAACCTCCACCCCCTGGTCTCAAGTGATCCTCCAACCTCATCCTCCCAAGCAGCTGGGACTATAGGCATGTGCCACCACACCCAGCTCATTTTTATATGTTTTTGGTAGAGACAGGGTCTTGCTATTTGCCCAGGCCTGTCTCTAACTTCTGAGTTCAAGCGATCTGCCTGCCTTGGTGCGCTGGGATTACAAGTGTTGAGCCACTGCAACCAGCCTGGATTTTTCTTTTAGGATTTTTAAATGCATTTTGTATTTAGAGGTAATTAAAAATTCACAGGTAGTCATGAGAAATAATATAGAGTAATCAAGTATACCCTTCCCTGGATTTCGTCTTACATAACAAGAGCACAATATTAAAACTAGAAAACTGGTATTGATATAATCCATCGAGCTTATTCAGATTTCACAAGTCTTACATTCACTCCTTTGTGTATGTATGTGTATGTTTAACTCAATGCAGTGTTATTGTATGTGTAGTTTCATGTGATCACCGCCACAGCCAAGAGAGAGAACAATTTCATCTAAAGTCTCCTTTGTGCTATTATGATCTCAGATACCTCCCCCCAAAACCCCAACCCTGACACCTGGCAACCACTAATTTACTTTCGATCTCCATAATTTTGTAATTTCAAGCATGTTATGTAAATGAAATTACACAGTATGTAACCTTTTGAGACTGGCTTTTTTTCACTCAGTGGAATTCTCTGGAGATTCATCTAAGTTGTTTCATGGCTGAGTAATAATCCATGTAGTCCAAAGTAGTCCATAGTGCAGTGGACTGAATTTTGTCCCTCCCAAAATTCATATGTTGAAGCTTTAACCCCCGATATGACTGTATCTGGAGATAGGGTCTTTCGGGTTAAAGGAGGTCATGAGTGGGGACCTAATCTGATAGGACTGTGGGCCTTAGAAGTAGAGGAAGAGAGATTTCTGTTTTTCTCTGTCATATAAGGACACAGAGAGAAGGTGGCTATTGCAAGCCAAGAATACAGCCCTCACCGGAAACTAATTGGCACCCTTACCTAGGACTTCCAGCTTCCAGAACAGTGATAAATAAATAAATTTCTGTTGTTTATGCCACCCAAGAGTGTGGTATTTTCTTACAGAGAAGTCTGAGCTAACATACATGGCATGAATATACCAGTTTAAAATGTTTATTTAACCCAGAGCCTCTGGGTTGCTTCCAGTTTGGGGCTGTTATGAATGAAATTGCTATTAAAATTCATGTGCAGGTTTTTGTGTGACATACTTTCTTATTTGTCTAGAGTAAATGTCCAATAGTGTAATTGCTGGGTGATATGGTAAGTGCCTATTTGATTTTGTAAGCAACTGCCATACACTTTTTCTTGGCTAACTGCATTGTTTTATATTCCTACTAGCAATATGTGGGTGACACATTGTTTCCACAGCCTCACAGCATTCAATGTTATCATTGTTTTTTTATTTTAGACCTTTTATTTTGTTTTGTTTTGTTTTGTTTCAGACAGAATCTAACTCTGTCGCCCAGGCTGGAGTGCAGTGGCATGATCTCGGCTCACCGCAACCTCTGCCTCTTGAGTTCAAACAATTCTCCTGCCTCAGCCTCCCCAGTAGCTGGAAGTAGAGGCATGTACCACCATGCCCAGATAATTTTTGTATTTTTAGTACAGACGAGGTTTCATCATGTTGGCCAGGCTGGTCTCGAACTCCTGACCTCAAGCGATCCACCTGCCTCAGCCTTCCAAAGTGCTGGGATTACAGGCGTGGGCCACCGCACACAGCATAATGCTTAATAATGATAAACATCTTTTCATGTGGGCCTTACTAGATTTTTGAAAAGTATATTGAACCATATTTTAAAAGCCCTGTGGATTTTCTTTTTCAAAGATATGCATCCAATACCAAAAATTTTGGTCAAGGGATTTATAAGCCAAAACATTTTTACTCCTTAAAGCTCAATTTTCATACATAAAACTCCTAGAGAAATAAAATTTAGATGTTTTTAGACTCATGGAAAGAAGAATTCGAAATTGTAGATGTCAGAAATCTTTTTTAATTGGTTCTGGAGTCCTTTTTCCATGTTTTGAAAAAAATATTATATATGTAAAAGTTTAGTTCAAACAGCTATTTTGAGGAGCCTGGTTCTCTAGGAGGTGAGAAGCTGTCCCAGTTTTCCCCTCCAATCCAACAAAGCACCATGTGAGGATAAATAGATTTTCAGGGCAACACTCAGAATCTGCATTAGGAGTGGACCTCTTTCTCAGACAGTCATGAGAAATCTTGAGGCTTTAACTTTGGCTTTTAAACATCTTCCTAGATACCTGCAAAGTAGGAGCTAATAGCAGTCATAATAATGGGTGCATAAAAGCAAATTATAATTATTGGTTTAATAATCAACAGTTAATAAGCAAATGGGTATTTTAGTAGAATATGTTCTGCCGATAATGGAAATTGATTTTTTTAAAAAGAAATAAATTGATAACCACAAACTTAATTGAACAGAAAAATCTAAACATTATTAATTAACTTGGAAGAAATATATTCCAAATAAGCTATAGATTGGATAATTAGAAGTTGTTAGTGATAAGAAATTTTTCCTCACCAATCTCATTTTGCTTACTGCTTTTAATGTGATGAGCCTAAAGTGAAACAACATCCTAAATCATAAATAGAAAGAATTGTCTTCCTTTCATTCTTTGAAAGATGATAGTTCATTCTGACTCTCCAGTAAAAGAAGTCTTATCAAATAAAAATGATTAAAAATAAACATCAAAAAAGATAAAACATGAATTTAACATTTATCATTTCACATTTCTGTCAGTAGCATGGCCAATTGTCTACAGTAGAGGTTCCTAGTGGGAGAAGTTAGGGAACTAAGCCCATTAAAATTTCTAATGCACTTAGGATGTAACCGTAGTGTATCTAACAAAATCATATATTATGATGGTAAAATTTTCATTTAAAAATTATGCTTTTCTGAGACCATTGTCTTTAGTGTCTGAAGGAATATAATATATGTTTTAAATATTACTGTGCTTTTTTAAATTATTTTTTGTAGACTCTCTTGACAGAAGTCCAGTTTAACACAGAATTCTCAGCCGTATTTTACCTTTGCCTCTATGTTTATGTTATCTCTGAAGTGGGAATATCTCATGTGTGTGTGAATACACAACAATGTTTGTCTTGGATTTCCATAGAACATAGCGAGAATTGTGAAATCCATGTGTATTTCCGGAGTGAGGGAGAGGAGCCTCCTAAATTATGTTGACTTCGTTTCTCACCTTGTTGTCATTAGAGTCCAATAACAATACAAGTATGTAAGTTCTCCTACCTAGCAGAAAAAAATTTGCTGCGTGATACCGATGTATTTATGGATCCAATTTAGGTTACTACCTTTAATAATTCCCTGTTAGTGTGTAGTGTGCAAGATGAGTTATCCCAGTTTTCCCAAGATCATTCAGATTATGAAGCCATATATTAAGTGGGACAAAATCCCTGTGGCTTCTATTCTGTGGCAAAGTGTATACAAATGAGGAATTGAAAAAACTCTTTTTTTTTGCATTTTTAAAAAATATATAGATTGAAGTGCTTTAGAAGTAAAGAGACAAACTAGAAATAAACAATAAATATAATAGCTAATATTTATTGACCGGGCCCTGCTTTTAGCCTTTTCATGCCATAGATGAATCCTTTGATCCTCAAAAACACATCTGAGAAACATTCTATCATTATCCTCATTTTATGGATGCAGAAATGGAGGCTTAGCCTGCTTAAGTTACTTACCAAAGGTGAGAGAGCAAAGAAATCAAGATTTAAACCCACGTATATCCGATTCTTGAGCAAAAGTGTTTCCTACTTTATCATATTAAAATTTTTCACAATACTTCAGAAACAAACTCTAAATTAAATTGTAATAGAAATACTTTCATTGAGTACTGTTGATTCAACATAAAAATAACTTTAGGGAAAAAATTTTAAAGCATATTTTATGCCAACCAGCAGGTACATAGAATCTGTCAAATTAAAACTAGGTAGTAAAATCATTTTTCTTTCAAATTTTATCACTACCCATTTAAAGTTGTCATTGCTCCTTTATAATAAAATTATTTTTTTCTAAACTACCATTAACTAGTAGTTTTAGCAACTGCAAACATTTTATAAGTACAGCTGTTTACAATGATTACTTTTTCTATATGTTAATGCTATACAGTCATTTACCCTTAAAGTATTTACAAAAGACTCAAAATTAAAAATAAAAAACTACTATTTGTCATTTTTAAACATTGATTTTTCAGTTCTTTACCCTTAGCTTGTACCTTTAATTTCTCTCTCTTTGCTACCTTCGTCCTTCAGTCTATAGCTATCGTATGGTTTTACTCAACTTGAAAAAAAAAAAACATATAAGCTAGTGAGCAAGTAACCATTCCTTAAAGCTGTGCTCTTCCATGGCTTCTATTATAGATTCTCCCTTACTAATCATCCTTAAAGTGAAAGCTACTGTATCCTCTTTGTCACTCTCTATTCACTTTTCAACCCACTGTCATGGGACTCTGCCCCATCTGTCCAGGTTACCACAGCAGTGTCACGTTCACCAGATACTTAGAGTCCTCATCTTAACTAACACTCTCTCACACTCAAACTGAGGATCATTTTTTTTATATTTAGTGCTTATATTGTTTTCCTTGAAAATAGATTTTTTTTTTTTTTTTTTTTTTTTTTTTTTCCAGAGAGAGGAATCTTGCTCTGCTTCTCAGGCTGGAGTACAGTGATGCAATCACAGCTCACTGTAACTTGAACTCCTGGGCTCAAGGGATCCTCCTACCTCAGCCTCCTGACTAGCTGGAACTACAGGAACGTGCCAATACATCCAGCTAATTTTCTGCAGAGAGAGGATCTCTCTATGTTGCCCAGGCTGGTCTTAAACTCCTGACCTCAAGTGATCCTCCTGCCTCGGCCTCCCAAAGTGCTAGGATTACACTTGTGAGCCACCACACACAGCCCTTGAAAAGTTTTCAAGAAGAGAATGTTTTCTCTTCTGTATGCGATGTGTGTGAATGTGTGTGTGCGCTGAGATCATTTTAAGAAATGGAGTTTTAAAAAATCTTTATGTTCTTAACTGGTAAACACTACCTACCTAGGTTCCATTATATCCTGTTTGATTACTGAGCTTTTATTTCTATTAAGTGTCTATGAGAGTTTGTGAGGGTAGCCCAAAGTAACAAGTATTCTACTTAGCTCACTTAAAGTGGGCTGATTACCACCTAGGGTATAAGTCAAGATTTCTGGCTCTTTTATTTGGACCTATGCTAATAGTTTTGCTTGATATATGAAATTAAATGATGGCGGGCACTCTGTAAAACAGAGCAGGGAGATGGGTTTAGTAAAATGTAGTCACTTTAATGAGGGGTTGGGAAGAACTGGATCTGAGCTGAGAATCCTACTGAGGCAAATGGCAAAGAGAAAAATCTTTTGTTCAATCTGAAACCGTTGGGTTTGTAACACATTTTTTTCCCACATAAATCAGTTTGATATCTAATTCACAGACACTGTTGGACAGCACAGCAATTGCAGCCAGGGTAGATGGGAGTGAAAGCTAGTATATCTTCTTGTCTTCGTAGTAACTGTATCTTTTCTACAAAGGTCAGTAATAACAATTTCATTTGGGGACTGTAATACAGAAGGTTAAAAATCAAATGAAATGTACAAGTGTCATTTTCCTTATTCTTGTTTTTCCTTAAAGTCTTGGGGAGTAAGTACTATTATAGATTTTGAAAATTATTCGCATGATGTGGGATAATGATGTCCAGCAGATTTAAGTACCCACTGGTAATTATTTATCCCGAAGAAAATCATATACAGAATTCTAATACATGAAATAAATATAACAATAACTAAGTTCCATTAAGTGTTTACAATGAGCCAGGCATTGTGCTAAGTACCTTGTACATATTAACTTGTTTAATCATCAAAACAATTCAATATGGTAAGAACTATTATGATCCCTAACAGACTAGGAATTTGAAGCTTGGAAGAATTACATAATAACGTAACCAAGGTACCACAAAAATAGTAAGTAGTAGATCTAGATTTATTCTCAAACAACACTACTAATGGACACAGATAAATGTATACCTCCTTCAAACGATGGGGGGACTGATGCATAAACTTGGGTGGTTTTGGCTAGGTCCACGTTTTGACCTCACAGTATTTTCTAAGGAAATTCCCAGGACCCTCTGCTCTAGTGTATTTAAAGAAAGATAAAATCTGAATTTTGCATTCTAACTCTCGGAATACGTGCTGTTTGAAGTTCTCTCATTACTGAACTTCCATTAAAATCTTTTTAAACGAAGAAAAAAGGCATAAGCAGACCGGAATCATCATTTACCCAGTTACTCAGGTTACATACAACCCTAAAGCCAAATTGGATGCTATACTTGCCCCCACAGTGTCACATGCAACCCGTCAAAAAAGTTCAATATTTTTCTTTCACCAAATACAGGCATATTTTGGAGACATCACACGATGTCTCCAAACCAGAACAAATTTTCTGGTTTCTCAGCACATGTAAATGTTATGTTTGCACTATACTGTAGCATAGTAAGTGCAATAGTATGATGCCAAAGAAAAAAATGTACATAGGGCCATTAGAAATAATTTATTGCTAAAGAATGCCAACAATCATCTGGGCCTTTAGTGAGTCAGGATCTTTTTGCTGATGAAGAGTCTTGCCAGGATATTGATGACTGCTGACTGATCAGGGTGGTGATTGCTAAAGGTTGAGGTAATGGTGGTAATTTCTTAAAAGAAAACAGTGAAGTTTGTCATACCAATCACCTCTTCCTTTCACAAAAGGTTTTCTGTAGCATGCCATGCTATTTGATAGCATTTACCCAGAGTAGAGAAGAACTTCTGTCAAAATTGGAGTCTATCCTCTCAACCTTGCTGCTGCTTTATCAATTAAGTTGATGGAATATTCTAAATTATTTTTTGTCATTTTAGCAATGTTCCCAGCATCTTCACCAGGAATAGACTCCACTTCAAGAAACCACTTTTATTGCTCATTCACTAGATTCAATGCTTCATTCATTCAAATTTAATCATGAGATTGCAGGAATCCAGTCACATCTCCAGGCTCCAATTCTAATTCTTATTCCCTTGCTATTTACAGCACATCTGCCATTACTTCCTCCATTGAACTGTTGAACCCTTCAAAGTCATTCATGAGTGCTGAAATTTACTTCTTCTAAACTCCTGCTCATGTTGATATTTTGACATGCTCTCATGAATCATGAATATTCTTAATGGCATGTAGAATGATGAATTTGTTCCAGAAAGTTTTCAATTTACTCTGCCCAAATATATCAGAAGAATCACCTATTTATGGCAGCTATAGACATGAAATGTATTTCTTAAGGGTGATAAGACTTAAAAGTTAAAATTACCCCTTGATCTATGGACTACAGACTGGATGTTGTATTAGCGGGCATGAAAACAACATTAATCTCCTTGTACATCTCCATCAGAGCTCTGGGGTGACCAAGTGTGTTGTCAATAAAGAGTAATATCTTCAAAGTAATCTCATTTTCTGAGCAGTAGTTCTCAACAGTGCACTTAAATATTTAGTAAACCATGCTGTAAACAGATGTGCTGTCATCCAGGCTTTAATGTCCCACTTACAGAGTGCAGGTAGAATACATTTAGTATAATTCTGAAGGGCCCTAGAATTTTTGAAATGGTAAGGAATACTGGCTTCAACTTAAAGTCATCAGCTATATTAACCCTAACAGGATGGTCAGCCGTCCTTCGAAACTTTGAAGCCAGGCATTGACTTTCTGGTTATGAAAGTCCCAATGGCATCTTCCTTTAATGTAAATGAAAATTTGTTTAATGTAGCCACCATCGTCAATGATCTTAGCTAGATCTTCTGGATAACTTGCTGTAGCTTCTACATCAGCACTTGCTACTTCACCTTGCACTTTTATGTTACAGAGATGACTTCTATTATGCACCCTCATGAACCAGCCTCTACTAGCTTCCAACTTACCTTCTGCAGCTTCCTTACCTCTCCAATGCCTGAAGTTTAGATTTCTCTGAACTTCTGTTTTCTACACAGCACATAGACTAGTACCTGAAGATGTAAAGATTCCTCATAGTAGCTGGTGAATTAATGAATTGATTTTAAAATATAGTGTAACAAACCCTAGTTTATCTTAATAAAAATCCTTTGTAAGAATAGAATTATTTCCAATATTTACAAAATATGGTAGTCCATGAGATTATCAAGAAGTAGGCTTAGAAAAAAAGGATTTAATAAATTTCACAAGTGTTTAAGAAACTTCTTACCAAAATAAGCTTTCTATTTGGCCTGTCACATTGGAATTCAAATGGCATTGAAATACTTCCAGTTCCCTTTAAACTTCAATGTAAAAATTACATTTTTAGTGTTTAAAATGAAGTATATCTGATAATGGTCTTCTCCAAATCTAATCTAAATGGTAGATTCCTTAAACTACCTCATGCAGGCCTATTTAATTTCCTCTTAAATTGTCAAAATCTATTTTTTAGTTGAACTCATTGTGTAGATCACTTTAACAGCTTTTTTTCTGAAAATATCTAATGATGTTATACCTCTATACATACTCCATTAACTTAAAAAAATGAATTTAGAACTCTAAATGTGTGATTTTTATGTGTGAAAAGATTCTTACTTAGGCAAACTATATTCTATTATCTTTAAAATAGACTGCATTATCAATTCAAATGTATAACTGATCAAATTAGAAGAGAGTGATCAAAAATAGTCATATAGGCAACTCCTAATTAATATTAGATTTAACTTTCTCTCTACTTCAGTTATGTAGAAATAGTGGTTTAAAGATAATGCTACATTATCAGAAGTCAAAATAGTTTTTAAAACATGCCTACAGGCATATTTTTCAAGTTTCCTTATTGTTCTGAAGACATGGCTGCTCAAATCTGGATCTTCAAATATTTGAATTATCAGAAACTTCAAGATTCTACACCCAGACATCACCGTCCTTATAAACAATTTATCACTTTAGAATTGTTGCCAAAGCCTAATAAAAACTCTAATCCTCTCTAGAGAAGGAACCTTGATTTTGTCTTTTTCTTCTCCAGTGCAGTAGTTTTCAGAGTGTGTTCCCTGAATCAGCATCACCTGGCAAAGTGTTAGAAAGCAAATTCTTGGGCACCAGCCCAGACCTACTGAATCAGAAGTTCTGGGAGTGGCGCCCTACAATTTATGTTTGCGAAGCCCCGCAGGTGTTTCTGATGCAGTATAAAGTTTGAGAAAGACTATACTGGCCTTAGGATAATATCTGGCATTCACAGGTTCTTTTATTCATCAACTGAGCAGAATTAAATCAAAATGAGTAAAATAAAGTAAATCAGGTGCCTGATATAAGGAACCAGAAATTCCTAAAATTTAGTTGCCTGAGGCAGAACTACATAAACACATAATATCTCAATTTTCACTGATTTCCAGTTTACTAATTAAAAAAAAATGAGGTGATCCATTTGGGTAAAATTTTTTAAAAAACTCTAACTTCACAAAATGTTTGACAGTCTTTTTACCTTTTATCCATGTCTGTCAAGCTTATTAAATTGAAGATAATACTAAACAGAATGTCATGAGTTTAAAATAATGATTTTATTATCCCCCTGTAAAGACATAACCATGTTTTCTTCAATACTCAAAAATGATAGCATTGACCCTCAATCAATAGATGTTTCACGTGTGATGAATTTGTTCTACTACATCTAAAGAGTCCCTGTAGCTACTAACAGCACTCAATAGAGGGTCCATTAGGGATTCTTCATGGCACCCAACTGATACATTCATTCAAACAACTACTTAGTAAGTGCCCACAAGGTACTTAATTACTGCCAGACATTGAACAGGATACAAGGCAATGTAGGGCAATTCTGTTCTCCAGGATTCTATAATGTGGCCTGGAATTAAAAGTAAAGAAAAGGAAAAGGGCCACACATTTTTCTCATACCATCATGTGCCAGGCACTGAATAGAGCAGGAGAAATAAACTATATCAGTAAATCCATGTTACCACTCAGGGAAGTTGGCTTCATTCCCAGATTACAAATAAGGAAACAATAGTTTGAGAGATGCTGAGAACTTGTTCAAACTCATCAGGTAAGAAACAAGGGAGGTAAAATTTAAAATCAAAACTGATTTTTAAGTGTCCACTGTACCTTACACTATATCAGTTCTTATATAAAAAATCAGCAGCAAGTCTTAGAGGAATACAATAAATGCCTAAATGAATGATGCACATTATTTGCTGTAGGGCGATTAGAAAAGGAGCAGTAACTGTGGATGAGGAAGTGAAGCCTTCCCAGTAAAAGTTCAACACAGATCTTCATTGAAAGAAAATGGTTTGTAGCTTGGATAAAGGAAAGAAGTAAATGTATTCCAGATGGGAAAAACTGTTAAACAGAAATGTGTAGTCAGGAACAAGAAAGGCAGGTTCCAGTAGAGTGGCAAAAATCAGCTCAGCACATTTAGTTGCCAAATAAATGATGTAGAATGGCTTTGCTTGGCTCTAGCTATGCATGAAGGCACACATTTTAACAACGAAAGGGGAGTGGTGAACAGTGCCACTTAGCTTTACTTAAGTGGTGTATTTACTGCCTGTGTCCGTGTACATTCAGTCAAGGTTTTGAAGTGCCTGCTTCTTTTGGCTCTAATTTTGTATATGCATTATCTTTCTTCATGTAAGTGATCATTCTGCTCCTCTCCTCTGCAACCAACAGGATTAGTTCACTTTAGCCATATTATTTCTCAAAAAAAAAAAAAAAAAAAAAAACTCACAGGTACTCTTTCATATATTTCTCAAGTCCCTACAGCTGAACAAGTTCTTAAAAATATCAGGTCTCTGGCCGGGTGCAGTGGCTCACGCCTGTAATCCCAGCACTTTGGGAGTCCAAGGTGGGCGGATCAAGAGGTCAGGAGTTCGAGACCAGCCTGGCCAACACAGTGAAACCCCATCTCTACAAAAAATACAAAAATTAGCTGGGCGTGGTGGCGTGTGCCTGTAATCGCAGATACTCAGGAGGCTGAGACAGGAGAATCACTTGAACCCTAGAGGCAGAAGTTGTGGTCAGCCAAGATTGCACCTCTGCACTCCAGCCTGGGCAACAGAGCAAGACTCTGTCTGAAAAAAAACACAAAAAACAAAATAACAATATCCACTCTCCCAGGTACTTATTTGTAGTTACTATAATGTGCCTGAAAGACACAAGTTCTACCATGAGTAATTCAGTATTCATTCAACTTGAATAACTACAGGGTTAGGAGAGTCATTTTGAAAATGGTTAGGATTATTAGTTAGTGTTAAGAAAATATTTTTAGATAGTTATGGTAGGTAAAGTATGTCTGAAGAAAAGATGTATTTGATTGACTTATCCTTTAACTTCAGTGAATTTTTATATCTCTGTATTTATTTTGAATCAAAATCCCCAGGTACAGGTAGGAGAATTTAAGACAAAATTTCAATAGCACCTCTGTTTTCCTGTCTTGTTACAGTCCTCTATGTGGTAAGAAATGTTTTTGTCATTTGCTTTCTGTGAATTTCAAAGTGATGTCCTGTGATAAAATAGTGGTTCCCCTAAGATCTTTTATTTACCCTGGGAATGTCATTGATCCAAAAGAAGATAATAAAATCAGCAATAAAATAGTAAACATTCTGTATGGGATATCACAGTTTTAATTGACTACAGACACTCAAATCAATTTTTCAATCTGCATACACATGACAAGGTCAGCAACATGGGAAGCTGATGTTGCTTTCCTTTATAAGAGATATATTTAAGATTTGTAATATAAACATGAAGTATGGTACTTTGTATATCTCTTTATATATCTCTTAAAAAATGGACTTTAAAACTGTAGATATTAATGACACTTCAATGTAATTTTTAAACAAATTTTAACAAAAATTACTTAGAAAATATTTTGCTTAGTTTTCTTACAGGTTTTTTAAAAATAGTATATTTGATGATAATGTGATTAAAGAATACACACCAATTTTTTTATATTATACTTTAACTTCTAGGGTATATGTGCACTACGTGCAGGTTTGTTACATATGTATACATGTGCCGTGTTGGTTTGCTGCACCCATTAACTTGTCATTTACATTAGGCATTTATTCTAATGCTATCCCTCCCCCTGACCCCCACCCCATGACAGGCCCCAGTGTGTGATGTTTCCCGCCCTGTGTCCAAGTGTTCTCATTGTTGAATTCCCACCTATGAGTGAGAACATGCGGTGTTTGGTTTTCTGTTCTTGTGATAGTTTGCTGAGAATGATGGTTTCCATCTTCATCCATGTCCCTGAAAAGGACATGAACTCATCCTTTCTTTTATGGCTGCATAGTATTCCATGGTGTATATGTGCCACATTTTCTTAATCCAGTCTATCAATGATGGACATTTGGGTTGGTTCCAAGTCTTTGCTATTGTGAATAGTGCCGCAATAAACATACGCATGCGTCTTTATAGTAGCATGATTTATATACTTGGGTATATACCCAGTAGTGGGATGGCTGGGTCAAATGGTATTTCTAGTTCTAGATCCTTGAGGAATTGCCACACTGTCTTCCACAATGGTTGAACTAGTTTATACTCCCACCAATAGTGTAAAAGCGTTCCTATTTCTCCACATCCTCTCCAGCATCTGTTGTTTCCTGACTTTTTAATGATCGCCATTCTAACTGCACACCAATTTTTTAAATAAAATTTATTTTTATCAAAATTTCCTGTGTACTCAGAAAAAAAGTGCCGTACATATAAAACTAATAATGTAATATAGGAATTGCTTCTCTACATCTCCCTACATGCTCTTCCCACTCTAGCGAAGCAACCTTCAATTTTTGTTTTGTTTTGTTTTAGCTACTTTTGGTATTTTTCAAATATTTTAAATAAAATTTTCACACTGTTTTTTCTTGATTTCCTAGATACTGATATCTATTGATATACTAAGTTGCAAGATGAGAATTTAGGTTGCATATGTCATCTCTCACATGAAGTTACCCTTACCCCCCTTCTAATATAGTTTTAACACATTTATAACTAAATTCATATTCAGTATTATCATTTATATGACTGTCTTTGTTTGGGTTGCTATAATAAAAATACCATAGACTGGGTAATTTATAAACAACGTAAGTTTATTGCTCACAGTTATGGAGGCTAAGAAGTCCAAAGTCAAGGCACCAACAGATTGGGTGTCTGGTGAGGGCTCCCTCTCTGCTTTAAAGATAGCACCTTCTCACTGTGTCCTCACATGGTGCAAGGGCAAAAGGTGATAATCAGCTTCCTCACACCTCTTTTATAAGGGACTAATCCCTTTCACAAGGGCTCTGTTCTCATGACCTAATCACCTCCCAAAAGCCCCACCTTCTCATATGGTCACTTTGATGAGTAGGTTTTCATGTAAGAATTTTGAGGGAACACATTCAAGCCACAGTATTCTACTCCTGGCCCTCCAGGATTTATGTCCTTCTCACATGTAAAATATATTTATTCCAGACGAATAGCTCCAAAGTCTTTTTTTTTCTTTTCTTTTTTGAGATGGAGTCTCATTCTTTTGCCCTGGCTGGAGTGCAGTGGTGTGATCTCGGCTCTTAGCAACCTCTACCTCCACGGTTCAAGCATTCTCTTGCCTCAGCCTCCCAAGTAGCTGGGATTATAAGCATGTGCCACCACACCCAACTAATTTTTGTGTTTTTAGTAGAGACAGGGTTTCATCACGTTGGCCAGGCTGGTCTCGACTCCTGACCTTGTCAAGTGATTTACTTGCCTTGGCCTCCCAATGTGTTAGCATTATAAACGTGAACCACCGCACCTAGCACCCAAAGTCTTAACTTGTTCCAGCATTAACTGAAAAGTCTGAAGTGCAGAATCTCATCTAAATATCATCTAAATCAGATATGGGTGTGACTCAAGATGGGAATTATCCTGAGGCAAATTTGCCTCTAGCTGTGAGCCTGTGAAATAAAACAACTTATGTGCTTCCAACATACAATGATTGGACAGACATAGAAAACACATTTCCATTCCAAAAAGAAGAAATAGAAAGGAAAAAAAGTGGTAACTTGTCCCAAGTCCAAAATGTAATGTTGCAAACAACATTAAATCTCAAGGCTGGAGAATAATTCTTGAGTAGATATCCTGCCTTTCAGGCACACTGGGTCAAGCATCGGGCCCCCAAGTTTCCAGGAAGCCCTGCCCACATGGGTTTGCAGAATACAACCAGTATTGCAGCTCTCACAGGGTTTGCGGAATGCAACCAGTATTGCAGCTCTCACAGGGTTTGCGGAATGCAACCAGTATTGCAGCTCTCACAGGTTAGACTTGCATGCTGAAGGCTGTACTATTCTGGAATCTCAAGGGTGACCTCACCCCCAGAGCTTCACCAGACATTGCCCTAATGGGATCCCTCTGTGGTGGCCCCACTCCTGTGGCTGTTCACTGCCTAGGTCCTCAGACTCTCTGGAGCTTCATTTGAAATCTAGAGTCATCCGTGCCTCCACAGCTCATAAATTCTGTGCATCTACACCTGTGGAGATGGCACTGTGCAGATGCCATCATTGTTTACCATCTGTACCTTGCAGAGAGGCAGCCCAAGCTGTACCTGGGCCCACATGAGCAACAGTAAGACAGGGCAAGGAGTGCTGTTCCAGAATGGGGAGAGCAGAGACTTAAAATTTTTCTGTTCCCAAGGTCCTGGATTTCTAAGCTTATGATGGGAGTGGCCAGCCCGATGATCTCTGAGATGCATTTGTGGAGTTCTTCTGTCCATTGGCTTGATGAATAAGAGCCCCTGGCTTCCACCAATCCATAGTAACCTTATCAAATACAAACAGTGGAATGGTCACATCCTTGGTGTTCTCTATTTTTCATTTGCAACATTGCCAGGCTGAGAATTTTCCAGATCTTTTTCTGCTTCCATTTTGATTATAATTTTTTCTTTAATTTGTTTCTCTCTTCTTACATTTTACTATAAGCAATTTAGAGAAGCCATGCTACATCCTCAGTACTTCCACCAAATATCCTATTTCAGTGCTTGTAAGTTTCACCTTCCACGAAACCCTGGGACACGATTCAGTCAAGTTCCTTGTCACTTAATAACAAGAATCACCTTTCCTCAAGTTTCCAATGACATGTTTCTCATTTCTATCTGAGACCTCATCAGAATGACCTTTATCATACACATTTCAATCAATATTCTGATCACAACCATTTAGGTAATCTCTAAAAAGATTGAGGCCTTCCCTACAGTTCTCTTCTTCAGAGCCCTCAAAATAACCCCATTTTATGGTAAATTCATAGCTTTTTCTAGCACGTACCTTCAGATTCTCCCAGGTTCTGCCCATTACCCAGTTCCAAATCTGCTCCACATTTTAAGTTATTTGTTATAGCAGCACCCCAGTTTTGGGTACCAAATTCTGTGTTTGTCAGTTTGGGCTGCTGTAACAAGATACTTTAGAATGGGTAATTTATAAACAATGTAAATTTATTGCTCACAATTATGGAGACTGAGAAGTTCAAGATCAAGGTGCCAACAGATTCCGTGTCTGATGAGGACTCCCTTTCTACTTTAAATTGGTGCCTTCTTACTGCATCCTCACATGGTAGAAGGGCAAAATTTGATAACCAGATCCCTCACATTTGTTTATAAGTTCACTAATCCTACTCATGACGGTTATGCTCACATGACCTAATCACTTCCCAAAGGGCCCATCTTCTAATACCAGCACCTTCATGACTAGGTTTCAACACAGGAATTTTGGAGGGATACAAACATTCAGATCATAGCAATAGCCATCTAAACATTTTTTTCTAGTTTCAGGGAGGATCTGACTGATAATTCAATGTGTACTTTCATTCAATCATATTAATTTTTTGTTCAGCACCATACCGAAGTATCCACATATCCATTGATTCCAAATTGCTTTACCACCTGTACTTTGCAGAGGGAATATGGAACTAAGGAATATACAGATAGTTTTGTGTGGTACTAAACAACAACACCACCACACCACACCACACACACACACACACACACACACACACACACACACACACAAATCTCATCTTTAAAAAAAAAACAAACTTCAGAGTAAGATTTTTTTGTTTCTGCTCCAAAAGTGTGTATAAAAAACCTGCAATAGATCAAAGTCCTTACCTCTTCATCTAGTGGTAACTTTTTCCCTTTGAACTCTGAGAATGACACCAGTATTGGTGGTTTTAATTTCTGTTGCCCTCTTTGGATGAGCATATTTACAACTACTGAAGTTCAAACTTGTCACATTGACTTTGCATTTATTTTTTATATTATCTTTTAAATTGGCATAGTTTAGAATGCCTAATGGTTTCATTCTTTATATTTATGTCATAATTTGTTACCTAAATTAAAATAAAATGTTTCAAGAAAGGGAACTAACACTTTTGTTTTTTATTAAAATAAAAAGAAACAACAAACTGTATTGTCTTTATATAGACTTCTTGTTTATAACCTTGATATTTCTAGAACTTAATATAGATTTCTATATTTTATTAAACTACATCTCAAAAGCCACTATTGATTTCTATAAATTGACATAGCCATTGACTTAATAAAGAGGACTTAATTCAGCTCTGCAGGAAAATCTTATTCTTTATCCAAGATTTGCTGTCTTTTCAACTTCATTCAGAAATTTGGCAGATTGGATAACCCTTGACATTTTGGTGAACCACCTGACAATTTCAATTATAGTTTGAATTTCAAACAGCAAATATTTGAGGTGTTTCAGATTCCAAATCATATCCAACTCTCAACCCTAAAAATGTCCTTTTCTTGGCTCTCAATAACATTTTTTCCATTTGAAATGTTTCCTTTTTAAGTTTCTTAGTCATATTCAAAGCTAAAGATAAGGATTTTTGAACAGTGTCAACTTTTATTAGGACAGAGAGAAAATACACAATTTAGCAATATGACCTACGCTATTTCCTAGCTTTAGAGCTAGATCATCCTTTAACTAATTATTTTTCTTTTGTGTTACTGTTTTAATCATAATTCATATTGGATGTTTTGGGTCTTTGACATAATTCTTTTCATTAGATTTGCAGATACCTTTATTCATAAAGCAAGTTTAAGTAAAAGAAAGTTAAGGTATAATTTTCAATATAATATAAATATGATTTAGAATTTTTGAAAATTATTTGTGATTTCTATGGCTTACAGTAGATAATCTACAAAATAATTTGAAGAATATTTAGAAATTAATCTTAATTTATCTCAGAAATTTTATTAGTTCTGAGAATGATCTGGCATAATTGCAAGTATTAAAAATTTCAGATAAAGTTGATTATGCATTTTTAATAGTGTACATGCAAAATAAAATTTAATAAAATTAGAAGGATGAAGAAGCACGTGTTTTATTTTTAATGGAGATTTTTATTCATTTTTAGCACAAAAAATAGCAAAACTCTAGATAGTCTTTGCAATAATGTACTGGTAGTATGTATGATGAAAAACCATACCTGGAAAGAATGTAACCATGTTAAAGGATCAGTTGGTAAGAAATGTTGCTTTCCTGCTTCTTACTACTCTGTATATCAGAATCTGAACTGCCATAGCAAGCTGTCTTCCTCTTTGCTCACATACCTAACTTCTAAAATGTTGAGAGAGATTCTTTATGGCCCTTATAAATAGAAACATTAATTTGTTGAACGTAATTGAACCCACAAAATGATTTTTAAATTATATGTAATTTTAATTTGCAACACTTATACAAATATAATTTTAACAAATTTACTCTAAATATATTTTATACAAATTATAAATTGTGCACAGAGCCATTATTACATATCTTTATTTCTTTATCACTAAGTGTTGTTTTAAAAAAAATCTTACCTTTGGAATAATACTGAAAATAGCAATAAACATTTATTTTTCTTTTTGTCACATCAAGATTTGTCTAATTCTCTCCCATGTGTCCCAAATTGCTTTTATCCAAGCCCAATCTGCCCTGCCATATCAATTATTATTGTCAAGTAATATGTAACTATCTTCATAACAGTATCAATCTCTGCTTTTAATTTACTCAAAATTCATTTCAAGCATATTTTATTTATCAAAAACATTTCAAGAAAATTTTATCTCTGCAATATGTTCTGGAAAATGCCAACCATAAATTGCTTGCTCATTATACCCATAATATCTTCTATCTATTTCTATATGACCATTCATTGTTCTTTTTACACCTTCACAATATCTCTTTCTAACAACAATATTCTGCCCTTTATATTCTACATTTGAAGACTTGATGGTGATTGGATAATGTTCCATTTTATTTTCACTGGGGCTTATGTCTTATGTCCCCTTACAGACATAACCATGATTCTAGAAGACAGGAACAGTAATTTACCTAGAGAGGAACTGAATCCATAACCTTACTAACACTTTGCTTTTTTAACAAAATGGGGCAACCAGCAACTGAAATCATTCCATTTAAAATAATTTCACACCTCACCGAAAGAACTTGAAAAATGAAGCCTTACAATAGGCCAATATTCTATTTTTAGGAAAATAGATAGCCTTCTCTAACAAATACATTTTTCTCTTAAATCCTTACATTAGAAACTTGAATGATAAACACTTCAGTGAATAGTTTACAACTTATAGTGTAAGATACAAGATTTTATTCCTAAAAGCAAAGGATGGGTAGGTCTTAAGAAAGGAGATTTCAGACCAGGCACTGTGGCTCACGCCTGTAATCCCAGCACTTTGGAAGGCCAAGGTGGGCAGATTACCTAAGGTCAGGAGTTCAAGACCAGCCTGGCCAACACGTGGAAAGGCAAAACCCATTGCTACTAAAAATACAAAAAATAGCCAGCATGGTGGCAGGTGCCTCTAATCCCAGCTACTCGGGAGGCTGAGGCAGGAGAATTGCTTGAACCTGGGAGGCAGAGGTTGCAGTGAGCCAAGACTGTGCCATTGCACTCCAGCCTGGGCAACAAGAGCAAAACTCCATCTCAAAAAAAAAAAAAAAAAAAAAAAAGAGATTTCTGTTGATTTTAAAATTATCCTGAGCTAACCACACTGTCATACTGCAAATCAGGGTGAAATGTGTCCATAAGAACAAGCCTGCCGAACTAAGGTATTGCCTGCCTTATCTCATGAGATAATTATTTGTTCTGTAGTGGGGTGCATATATTTTTAAAATGTGTTACACCAATGTGTCTACAAAAGAAACAAATGAAAAGCAAAACAACAACAAAAAGATCACATCATTTCAACAATTGTGGTGATCAAAACCACAGAATATTTACTTCAAGTATGTCCTTGTCCTTAATTAGCACAAGAATTAGTGCTACCAGAATACTCTTAAAGACTCTCTTCTAATAATTCTATCATCAAGTCATCTTGGAAGGAAAGCTTTTAAAGCCAGTCAGCCAGCCTGCTTAATGACTGTTTCTGTAGAGGAATACAAGTAGCTCCCAGAATTACAGTTGTCAGCCCATCTCCTTGGGTCTGAAGGAGACCGAGGGATCATTATCAAATAGATCATTTGATATGGTTTGGCTGTGTCCCCACCCAAATCTCATCTTGAATTGTAGTTCCCATAATCCCCACGTGTCATGGGAGAGACCCGGTGGGAGGTAATTGAATCATGGGGTCAATTACCCCCATGCTGCTGTTCTCATGATAGTGAGTGAGTTCTTACGAGATCTGATGGTTTTATAGGGGCTTTTGCCCCTTTTGCTCTGCACTTCTTCCTGCCACCATGTGAAGAAGGACGTGTTTGCTTCCCCTTCTGCCATGATTGTAAGTTTCCTGAGGCCTCCCCAGCCACACTGAACTGTGATTCAATTAAACCTCTTTCCTTTGTAAATTACCCAGTCTCAAGTATGTCCTTAGAGCAGCATGAGTATGGACTAATATATCCTTATTTGCTCTTTTCCTTTTGTATTCTGACATGAGTAAACTGTGAAATTGTGCTAAATAGAGATGTATGCTAACTGTGAAACACTGATAATTATTTCAGTAAACTATGATACATATAAGAGATTTAAAACGGGTATATGCTTCTTTAAAATAGACGAAGAAAGTCTTGGCATACATCTCCAGGATACCCCCTGAATTATAGGCCACAATTGTACCTCACAGCATTTATGGCCTCAACTCTAGTAACAGAAACACACCTTAGTCCTATTCTGTAGTTCCTAATAAAGATTGATTCTCAAAATAAAAACTGACTAAAGGGCAGAAATACATACAGTAATCTTCAAGAATTTTTTCTCTTTATCTGCCTGGAGTTAGTTGAAGCAAGCTTTGACAAGTCATTTATTTAACAGTTTAGCGGAACTCATTCCTACTCTTGAACCTGGAATGGAATGTAAGAAATAAAGAGCAGTGGAATCCAATGATGTATTTCAGGATATAATTGGTTGTCTATACTCAAGGCTGATCTTATCACTTGAGATGAAAAAAGAAAAACAAAACATGGTAGTGGAAAAAAGTTTATGTTTACAAACCCTGAAAACTTAATTCTTGTAAATAACATCACCACAAATAGAAAATATGTGTCATCAAACTAATTTGTGCAAAGCTATAATTTGTGTAGCAATGATTGAAGTATAAATATAACACTTTAGTGTGTTTTAAGGAGTTTTTTTCAGATATGCTATTTTCTCTTTACAATAGGCTTGAAAATATAGTATTTTTTTCTAAAACAAGCCTTTTGTCTTTCCTTCTATGGAAAGATGCATGTCTTTAGTTATTTCTGCTGGACTATTATGTGTGGACTGGCAGGTATTGGCATACTTTTCATAATCCTAATAAGTATCCGGTGTAGCCAGTCTGAAAGCTCATTTAGAACAGGACAAACTCTGTCTTGCTTGTTGAAACAACTCCAGTACCTAGCAATGTGTCTGGTACATTCTTCAGGTGCTCAACAAGGCAGAATGGCTTTGTTTATTAATTAAATAATATAGACTCAAATCCATTCAGTCCCTGACCAGGACTCTTCATAAAACAGTGGATCTCAAAATCATTCCCTGAACCTACAATATTGCATCAACTGAGAACTCGTTAGAAATTAAAATTTTCAGACCCCATGCCAGACCTTCTAAATCAGAAACTATTGGGGTAGGCCCAGCAATCTGTGTTTAAAAAGCCCTCCAGGTGATTATAACGTATGCTAAACTTGAGCACCATTGATGTAAACAATACTCAAATACATTGTGCACAGCTTTTTAGAATTATGAGAGTGGCTTAAGGGTATATTACAAGAAGACAATTCCTATGGACAGATTGTGAATAATTTTAATTTCTCAAGAATTTTGTTCTAATTTTTTTATGTATAGGATAGTTGGAACGTATGTTCTACTTCTTACAAGTATCTTTATTTTAACTATAGGACTACTCCCCTCATGTAACAAATTGTGTAATTTGTATAGGAAGGCTGACTCAGTTTGAGTTACTGGTACAGATACTGAGACAAGGAGTTGAATGCAGATGGCTTATTAAGGAGGTGTTCCCAGGAAGCACAAGTGAGGAAGTGGTGAACATGAGAGAGGGTAAGGAGAAAAGCCAGTCAAGCATGTGTTAACAAGAAAGGGTTACAACTGTGGGCAAATAGGTCTCAATCCTGTGGAGAACCATCTGAGAAAGCATGTGTGGAATATATCTCAGAATCACCCAGTGGAGAGTGGAGAGACTGAAACATTTATGTACTTACTTCCAGCTCCACTGTTTGAGAGTTGATCTCCAGTGGTTCTAACATATGCCATATTCCAGGTTATATTTGTGTATGGCCAAATAAGCTGGACAACGTCATCAGGCAGAGAAGATGAGACACAGCACTTGAGGTGGGACATGTCAATACACTGGAAGGTTGAATTGTCACTGCCTTGAGAATGGAAGAAGAGCAGAACTGACTATATACAGAAAAAGAATGAGGGTCAGCTTTAACTAGGGGTTAGAAGCCATGAATTTGCAATAACACCAAAGCACCCAGTTGTGTGTTCCATTTCTAGGAAAGGTAGAACAGTGAATTCTAAGACATATAAATGGCATTCAGAGTAACTCTAATTGTTTTATAGGAAGTATGCAATCATAAACGCTGACAGATAAGCATACATGTAAAATTTTTAAGAAAGGTTATGATCACTAAAATATAGCAGATGACTTCGAATGTTCTTGCTTTATGTGATCACAAATGGGCTCCTTTGTCGAATTCTAGAATTCTGCTCTGCAAGTGACATTTTGTTTGAGCAGTTGGCATCTGGTACCTCAGTTTCAACTGACTTTTTGTTACTAAACACAGTTCGAACACCGTAAGGTAATTTTTCAATGGTAAGAAAAGGTAGTTTATACTTCATCCTAGTGAAATAACTCAGGCAGGGAAGTCAATTGCTTGGAATTATGGAAAGTTTCCATGCTATCAAGCCCAACACCATTTGAAAACATTTTTTACAGTAGGCCACAAAGCTGCCTTTTTATGGAAGAAACTATGAAAGAAATTTTAGAAACCCCAGAAAGCTCCAAGGTCCTGTTCTGATTCAGTAAAAATTTCAAAGACTATACCTCCTGAGCTTACTTTGAGAATGACAAAACACAAGTAGCTTAGGAAGACGGACATGGAAATTCACCTTTTGCATTTCCCTGCATTTTCTTTTGGATATTTTGCACAGAAAAACAATAAAACCTTTTGATTTTTGTTTTCCTGTGAAGTCTTTTAATTTTAGTAGAATCATCAACATTTTATGCCACTCTTAAAATTCTAGAAAGCAAAATCCCCATGTAATACTGGAAAAGTCCAAGGATAACAGAAATATTGAACTAGGACTGTTTTTTAATGAGAAATAATTAGCCTCCATAGTAGCTTCATCAACGATGAGCTACTTATAACAGTATACTACCAAGCTACACAAAGACTTTCATTAGTGTAAGAACAGTAGTAGACTAATTAACTGTCTAACTACAGAAACTAGATGCTTAATTGCCATGTTGCTTTATTGGCACAGTATCTAAGAATCGTCGTCCAATTTCTCCTCTAGAAGCTTTTTTGTTTTCCTCCTCTGGTGGCAATGGGAAGTTTCGTTGTGATGAAAGAACAGTAACAGATAACTGTTTCTCTGGTTAAGTGTCAGGTGCAAATACTTCTCTGGTTAAACATCAGGAATATACATGTGTATGTGACTGTATGTGTGTGTGTACATGAAATGTTTAATCAGTTAACCAGTGTAGCAAATTTCTCTCATTCTGAAAAGAATATGAAAAGTAAGTCTTACTAAAGGAAAAGCACATTTTCTTATACCACTTTAAGGCAAATAGTCATGGAATCACCTGTATTGTTCAAAGTCTTCTATGGTTTAGTCTCTTTCTCTATCAGTTATACAATGGATGCACGTAAGTTAACACAGTGGAGTATAAATAAATAAAAGTCTAGTGTATCCCACAAAATGTTCTGCAACATTCAGTTTAACTGTAATTCTAATTTTGAAAACTACATAACAGGTTCTGCAACTTAGAAGCAGAGGGCTATGAGAAAATTTTGTAGAACATATCTTTACTAATTATTAACTCTTGCATCCACTCCTGTTTCGCTTTATGATTTGGGTGAGTTACTTTAACTTTTTGTTCCTCAGTTTCTTCATATTTAAAATGCACATAGTTGTAGTGTTTGCATGATAAGGATGTTGTGATAATTAAATGAGTTATTATCTACGTGTGTGTGTGTATATAAAAACACATAGTGTCATACATAGTAAGCACTCAACAAATATTAGCTTATACTATTATTATTAATGACATACTGTAAATAGCATTCAATAAGCATTTACTGGACAGAATAAATGTTGTCAAACATGACCATTTATGAGTACTGTCAAAAGTATTACAGTAACTTGAGTGATTTTTGAACACATGTAATGTTCCAGATGCTTTAGATACATTTAGCCATTTAGTCCTCACTATGCCTCCATGAAGAAAATGTCATTCAGCTCATCAGGAACCTGAGACTCAGAGTATGTAACATACCTTGTTACAGTTAAGGAGGCCCAGCATTTGAATTCAAGCCCATTTACTCAACTTTCATTTTATTTTTCTAGTATCAGATAGTCTCCAAGTCCTGAGGTATTTGGCTTTGCAGATTTTGAATTTAATATTTCTATACTTAATTACTATATAAATAGTTAAGATCTTCTCACTTGAGAAAATGTAAATTGATTCATTTTCTGATTTAATTTTTTAATTAAAATTTTTTCTAATGACTTCCTTTTTATATGAGCTTATCAAATAGTTTAGTCCTAGGTGAGGTATGGATATCCACAGATGTATAAGGACGAGTTAGGGCTATATGGTTCTCTTATTTCCGCAAGCAACATTTAGGAAAAAAAATCTGACCCATTCCTAGCAATCCATTTTATTGAAACCCTACTATGTGTCACTCACTGTAAAGGGATAGACCAGTGACCAAAATGAAGTCCTTACTACCATGAAGCTTATTCTACAGCACAGAAAGAGATGGTAAATAAGTGACTCTGTGTGTGTTTATTTGTCTCAGGTGGGATAAATGCTCTAAAGAATAGGACAAAAGTAACAGAGACTCATGGGGGAGCAATAATGGATGATCATAGAAGTCATGCCTGATGAAGTCACATGCAGAGACCTAAATGAAATGAAGGAGGGAGCTATGTGTGTGTCTCTAATGGAAGAGCAATCCAGGAGGCAACATAAGGACAAAGGCTGAACTATACTAGAGGACCAGCAGGAAAGTGATTACAGCTGAACCAGAGGGACTAAGGGGTTATATAAAATACGTACAACATGGCCCTCACAGCCACTTACATAGTTATCTACGATTTCATTAAGGCTGGGATAGAGGTTGGCTCAGAGTGTCAGGCAAGCATAAGGGTTGGGATAATACTGCCTGGAGTTAGAGAGGTAGGATGGGAAGGGTTTGACATTTTGTTCACAATTTGAGTTATGAGAAACACTTTGTCAAACAGAGAAACTGAGAAGAGGTCAAAAGGAACAAAGCAAAGCATGAAAGTCCACAGCTGTGGAGAGCTCATATATTGCATTTAGACGTGATGAATAGACTTGAAAAACTTTATTTTTTCTTTATTGGCTTCAAGATAGCAAGAAAGCCTTAGTTCATAAATCCTAGCAATTAAGTGCCAATTTACCCCCAAATCATTTTAAGCGTTGATCAAAATCCAACTAAGAACTCATATTCATTTGTTTGCCTGTCATACTTAAGAATTAATTTACTCTGCCAAGGGTCATTTAGCTATTAAAAAATAATAGCTACAAGAAAATAAATATTTTAGTGTAATTTCCTGATGGTGCCAAAAGTTACCATATTAGCATATGGTAAAATAGGCAAGGGATGAGGGGTCCTTCAACAAACACCGCTTTTCCTAATGTTTTGGCATAATGCACCTTAAATCACCACAGCAAACGCCCAGGAAAACCCCAATGCCAGCAGAAACTCACAGAGAATTAAAGACAGTAACACAGTGGTTTCTGACACTGGCAATGATTTTTAAATCTTTATTCTCATGAGGTAAAGTACTGAAATCATGAATTTGCTTTTAATCACTGTTCAATCTTTGTTCAATAATATAGAACACAGGAAAGTTGGTCTATGCCACATGATGAATGCAGTCTATCTCTTGCATTACACATTAAGAAGCAGAGCAGGTAGCACAGTGTTGGCTAAGTCTCAGCGGTGGCATATTTTCATCTCCCACAGGGTGTGGGAAGACCCCACTGCACAGCAGTAACAATAAATCTAGCATATCCGTTTATGAAATAACTTTGGCAGTAATGGCAAGAGGATTTGGATGAAAGTGTATTTGTGGTCTTCCAGCTGGAAGATCAGAGCAGAGATTCTAAAGCAAAAAAGCAGAGTGGAATGGCAGATAGTGGCTGCTTGGAAAAGAACAGAAGACAGTTGAGGATCCATGCTGAGCTCAAGGGGAAATGCAAACAAGACAGTCCTTTCAGAATATCCCCATGCTGCCCAGTGTTGGCGTGAGGGATTACTAATGCCATCTGCTGGATATTCTTGGGATTTAAAAATGGTATCTAAACAAATAATACTCCAGTCTCCCTATGTCTTGGCTTCAGTTCTTTAATGAGAAAAACAGCAACAATAACCAGCTAAAGAAAACAAGTGAAGAAAACAAAACTCAGGTCATGTACATGTTTCCTGTACCTTGAGAAGGTTGGAGTTTCGTATGGCCACTGTGTTTCAGACATAGTATTTATAATAATTGCATTTTTTTGGTTGGTGTTTGTTTGTTTAGTTTTAGCAGAACTCTATAGTAGTGCACTTTGGCCATATGCAACACTCAGGCAACTGGATATAGTTTGAACTGTAAATCCACAAAGCCCTTGCTAAAAATATATTATACACTATAAACTTTGTATACTACATACTCCCTTTTGTTGGAGAGAACATTGTGGTTTTATTTTGTCTATTTTGTTTTTAAATAGGGATAAAAATAATTAAAAGGAAAGAAGCACAAGTATCACCATTTGGTCAAAAACATTACATAGGCCGGGTGCGGTGGCTCACGCCTGTAATCCCAGCACTTTGGGAGGCCGAGGCGGGCGGATCACGAGGTCAGGAGATCGAGACCATCCTGGCTAACACGGTGAAACCCCGTCTCTACTAAAAATACAAAAAATTAGCCGGGCGTGGTAGCGGGCGCCTGTAGTCCCAGCTACTCGGGAGGCTGAGGCAGGAGAATGGCGTGAACCCGGGAGGTGGAGCTTGCAGTGAGCCGAGATCGCGCCACTGCACTCCAGCCTGGGCGACAGAGCGAGACTCCGTCTCAAAACAAACAAACAAACAAACAAACAAAAAAACATTACATATACATTTGTGTCATATAAAATACAGTAAGTCATCTTTTGTTTTTGTTTTGTGGAAATATTTTCCTCTGTCGTGCTCTCTGTAGGTTTATTGTGGGATTGCAATTTAAAATGACAAAATTCCTTCTGGTATTTCAGTAAAATTTTAGAACCTTTAGAAATGTGTGGCTAAATTAACATTGATTATAGTCTACATGTTCCAAACCGTACTAATCCCATGAGACTTGCAGTGGAAAAAAATGGTTTCTGTGGTCAAATCCATCTGAAATATTCTATAATCCAAATATCTTCTCCTAGAGATCAATAAGGCACATGAACTGAAATGTGAGGAGCTGATATTTACTGACAGTTTACCATATACCATTATCTCATTTAATGTTCATTCTGATTCTATTGTGTGGGCACTATCATTATTCTTACTGACAAAAAAGGAAACAGGTTTATAATTTGTTCAAAGTCACACTCAGAAAATAAAGGTACTAAATCTGACTTTAGAGATTGCACTCACAAGCACAAAGCTATATGTTCCATAATATCAATCAGTGAAATAGTATATATTAATATGATTTTTATGTTAATTATATTTCTATATTCATGTTAACCTGTTTAAAGCTTTGAGGAATAATGTGGTAATAGCATCTGTTTAACTTTGCTTAGCCCAATATTTCTAAATCTACTTAGCTACAGAAAACTCATTACTTTTAGTGGAACTAGTGTCCTACAGAATATAGTTCCAAAAATGCTGATATAAGTAAGCTATAATATTGCTATAGATGAGAAGCCAGAAAGGGAGTAGCTCTTTAGTGTTTCTCTAGCCACTTGTTCCAGCGTATCTGCTGGTGTCCTCTGCCTATGCATGCCCCTTGCTGATCTCCACCTGATGATTTGGAAGGGCTAGAAATAGGGAAGCAAACACCTGATATCTTTGCTGCTACAGGTGCACAGAGCACTGGAACTCTCTGCGTAAATGTGTAATATTTAGTACATCCTGCAAAAGGAACAAGCTTAATTTAGTTAAGCCACAAGGTTGAGTGATAAACAGCATGTTGCTGTTATTGTTTAGTCAATTAAATCGTCCCCTGCACTTGTAGGAACTGTTCCACATTTATTACTAGTGAGAAACAAGCTCGGGCAGGGTTGTTGATTTCCTTGCATTGGGTTGTGTTATATTTAGCACATCTAAAGATTTGAGAATGAATGATGGAAGACACAGTGATAAATTGTCGAGCTTTTCCAAAGATTCAGAAGTTCTAAAGTTCCTGCCAGTGACAGATGGTCTGTCCTTACTCATTGCTTGTCTTCCTGACAGGACTTGATTTTTTTTTTTCCTTTTTTGCTCAATTCCCTTATAGTAAGCTCAGCTTCTTGGGAGGTGGGATAGTTTAATTTGTTATAATTACATTGCTATATTTCAAAGTGGCATCAACTCTATATGAACATGTCATGCTCTTTTTAGATTATTAATGTGCACATGTATAATGACAAAAGAGAATTATAGGATAAGAGGAAGAGAGGAAATTCATTACCAAGGGAAAGCCATACCTCAATCTTTCCTGTTATTTTGATAACCAAGCATATTATTAAATAGAGTCCTCATTGGATAGTGGTTTTTTAAAATCAATATTATTTTAATACCTTCAATATTTTATAATAATCGAAAACTTTTTGAAATTTTTGTTTAAACAGCACTAGTGTTTATGAGCTTGTAAAATATTTCTAAGAATTCACACAATGAGCCCAAACAACTATAATAATGATGTGCCTAGATATTAAACAGGTTCCAAATGAAAAAAGGAAAATTGCAATCAAATTTCTTAATTCCTTTCATTGATTTCAAATACGTTCACTGCTAAAATAGGAGATTAGAAGATATGCTAAATAGATAAGGAATGTGGGAAAAGAAAACAATTTCCTGTGGCAGTAAATATAAAGGCTTTAAAAATTCTAGCTTGTCTTCAAATAACTTCTAAAATCCAGAAGTAATTTAGCCCTCAAGTTAGTAATGCCACTAGTGTGATAGAGCATTATATAGCTGCAAGTGTTACCAAGTGGAAAGAGATCAACATTATTTAAAACTATAAAAACAATCAGGTGAATTGATTTGGGATTTATAATAGTTGTCTTCTGTTATCTACACAAAGAGCTCAGAAATTCTTTTTAGGTAAATTATTTTTTTGTAAGTGCTCACTCCATATTAGCTCAATTTGATAATACATGAGAAGCATAAACAATATTATCACTGCTTTTTCTCCTTTATTTCCTTTAATTCTACTTCTACTGGAGTTTTAACCACTTTGAAGTGATATGCATATAAGTGCATATATGTTTCACTGAATATATATATATCATACTACTATACATTCTTTTTTGTGTGTGTGTGTATGTGTGTGTATAATACACTACTCATTTAAGTGAGAGAACTCAAAGCTTACTGGATTTCCAAGGTCTAGGCTATTGAATTCCATTTTATCTTTTTATTCCCCTTACTAAATGCTCCTACCATTACTGATATCAGTTACCTTTTTATTCAGTGGCTTTTTAACATTGCTTTATTTTGGTAACATTTGATTACAAAATCTCAGAGAACTCATGCCAGCCCACTGGTTATGCATGAAGATGTTAACCTAGACCTAGGGAAATTATAACCCTTGTTTAGTGAATATTTTCTCAGATAATAAATGGAAGAATTAACTTTCTGTGTAGAACATTACAAAAAATTTCAAGCTTCTTTAACACATGATGTCACAATAATACATGGATTTTAGTTGTGTATATTACATATACATTGATATATAATTAAAAAGACAAGACATATCTGTTTTTTTATTCTTAAGGACCATTCTAGTATAATTCGTTTTTCTTCTCCAGATAAAAATGTGTTTGTAAAAAAGATTCTAAATATTCAATATTTTTGAAAAGGCCAAGAAATATTGCATAATTTTGAAATCATGCCATTATAAAATCACAGAATTAAAAGTTACTCTAGTGAGTATGTTTATTAAAATTTATTAAGATTAGAAAAAGTGCATAGCTGAAGTTAATAAAAATGCTTTGCATTAAAGATAAGATGGGCTAAATTAGTCTAACAAGTAGACCCAAAATGTAATATTCTACTACTAAAGATTTGTTTCATGTCAGCTCAGCACTACAGCATAGAGTAGGAAAGGGGAGTCTGCTCCATGCACTGGAGCTACTGTGGCTTCCAAGGTCTCTAGGCGTGACGTCACAATCCTACTAAGCTGGAATGGACAGAGAGCAGACACAAGCACATGGGAGGTTTTATGAGTCAGGTTTGAAAGTGGCGTACATCACTCGGCTCACATTCTATTGGCTTAGAACTCAGTCACATGGCCTTGTAATACCCTGCAGTGGAGGATGGGAAATGTAGTCTAGCTGAGTGTCCCAGCAGAAGGAGAGAATGGATTTTGATGATCATCTAGCAGTTTCTACCACATGAACCCTTGACTTTGCTTAAAAATTGAGGTGACTTTAAATGATTATGCTATTAATATAGTCTAGTTTTTCTGATAAACTTTGTATCCACTCACTTGTTTGTAGGGCAGGGTATTTTTTAAATTCATTTAGTAACCTAAATTGGAGACTAAGTTTGAGGACTAATGATTTTAGAATAGTTGGTCCAATAGAACTCGTAGGAGACCTGTTAACTTGAGGACCCAAAAGAGATTCAGATAGACTCTTTCTTAAAAATGCACATTAAGACATACAGGACTCATACTGAAGGTTCACAGATACTTAGTACTTGCCTATGGTGAAGAGCACTCAATTTAGAACATGAAGATAGATGATTTATTTATTTATCTGTAGTAATGTGCTAATGTTTGCTTGTAACAAATTTATACTGCTAAAATATCTTAGATGTTAATACTCATGAATAAAACCAAAGACCAGAAGGAGAGACTATCTCCTTGCTGACCCTAAGCAACAGAGGATAGTACAGTGAGTAGAATCATGGCTTTAGACAACATGTTTGTCTTTCTTCTTCACTGAAATACAGGATTTGTGCCTCAATATTATTTCTTGCTTTTGCCTAACATACTTTAAGATGAAGAGCCATGGGTAAATCTCATGGTCTAGATAAGTTACCAACAAGTTATCATCATAACTCTTACCTTCTACTTAGTCCATAAATGCTGTTGCACAAAACAACTTCTCATTTAGTAATTTCTACAGGTGATGCAGAGTGCTTATAGTTTAAATTTTGCCTTATCTGATTACATAGCGAAGATTATTATTTAGCTTCAAATGAGGATAACTTAAGCTAAATAGAATCACTGTACTACTATTGCTTCAGAAGTATTTTACATCCATGCTGCCTATCTATTGGTATTCACTTCTTTTTCTCTGAATTCTATTTACATATTTTAGTAGTGGTTTACCCCCTTGTACAACATATTTCTCTTTATTTTACCCAGAAACCCACTTTCCTTATATCTTAGTTTCTAGTTTGAAGTCTTTTTAATCTAATGGAGTCTCACGTATTTTCTGTTACTTTTTATTGTTAATAAATTTTTCATTATTTGTCTCTTAGATGTTTAAAGTAAAACAATCAGAAAATTTGAAATAAGGATTACCATTACTGGTATAAAGTGTTTTTTTTTTATTTTTTTTTAGCTAAAACTGAAAACTGCCATAGGTTATGTTTTAATTATTAAGTTTCACCTATAAGTGGAGTATACATATATTTCAAAAATGATAATAATAGTCCCTGGAGTGTGATGGTCCCCTTCCCGTGTCCATGTGTTCTCATTGTTTAATTCCCACCTATGAGTAAGAACATGTGGTGTTTGGTTTTTTGTCCTTGCGATAGTTTGCTGAGAATGATGGTTTCCAGTTTCATCCATGTCCCTACAAAGGACATGAACTCTTCATTTTTTATAGCTGCATAGTATTCCATGGTGTATATGTGCCACATTTGCTTAATCCAGTCTATCGTTGTTAGACATTTAGGTTGGTTCCAAGTCTTTGCTATTGTGAATAGTGCCGCGATAAACATACGTGTGCATGTGTCTTTATAGCAGCATGATTTATAATCCTTTGGGTATATACCCAGTAATGGGATGGCTGGGTCAAATGGTATTTCTAGTTCTAGACCCCTAAGGAATCGCCACACTGACTTCCACAATGGTTGAACTAGTTGACAGTCCCACCAACAGTGTAAAAGTGTTCCTATTTCTCCACATCCTCTCCAGCACCTGTTGTTTCCTGACTTTTTAATGATCGCCATTCTAACTGCTGTGAGATGGTATCTCATTGTGGTTTTGATTTGCATTTCTCTGATGGCCAGTGATGATGAGCATTTGTTCACGTGTTTTTTGGCTGCATAAATGTCTTATTTTGAGAAGTGTCTGTTCATATCCTTCGCTCACTTCACACCAGCATGGCATGTGTATACATATGTAACAAACCTGCACATTGTGCACATGTAACCTAAAACTTAAAGTATAATAATAATAAAATAAAATTAAAAATGATAATAATAATAAAGCTTAGAAGTAGATAACATATCCTCAATTATCTGATCATGTACTATCTCTACACCTCAATAAAGTCACAGGGAACAATGTGATGTATAATGGAATAGTATGAAACTTGTACCAAGTGTTAAAAAACAAAGATTCTGCAACTAATTACGTACTTTGAAAAAACATTGAGTCACATACCAAATATATTTCCAATTTTATTTTTTGTGATGCAATGCACCTCTTAGCAGGTGTTTCTCGGTAGAACAAAGAATAGCCAACAAAATGCAATTCACCTTCTATAACAACTCCTTGATAGTTATTTGAAAGCATCTTCATTTGAAACCCAATCGCTGAGTATTATTGCTAAAAACAACAGAATGACCTCTTACAAAAGAGTCTCACTTATTATATGCCCATGCCATGCATAAATCAGAAGAACGTGTCTTAGAATATGTATGATAAGATTTATTAGCGTAGAAACCTTCATATAGAAACTGCCCCTACTACACACACACACACACACACACACACACACACACACACGCATGCACACATCTGAGGCTTACTTCTTTGGCCTAAGCCAAGAATCATTTAGAATAAATGTATCTGAAGTTAGTCAAACAAAGAGTGCTACCCATATATTTTTATTCTTCCTTTTAAATATATTTTATTTCTTTTCATCTTATTAGCAATCTAAAAGCTACTAAAATTTCCTACCCATGCTTTAATGCTAGTATGTTGCCTATCACTTTTGGTATTTAACTTTCAGATAATTTTAGAATAGATCACCTTAGAATACACGTTACAAACATTTTCAGGAGAATACAGAGCAGTTTACTTAGTCAAAACAGTAGAAAGCATATACACAGAGAAGTAGCAGCAGATAAGAATATTAAGTTAGAGCCAGATTGTAGAAGCTATGTACTTTGATATTTATTAGGTAGATGATAAAAAGACATCAAAGTTTATTTCGAGTAGGGAATGTGATTTGAAATTTTAACTCCACTCTCCACTCTCAGTTAAATCACAAAACAGTGTATTTTATTTATGTATTTTTTTCTGTTGAAACCCATGGTTTTCTAGGTTTTGATGAATTATGTTTTCAAATATAATTAGCAAGTCTACAGTGCATCTATATGTATGTCAAATGCAAATGCATCTACAGTGTTTTGCTAATAATTTTTCCATCTTCAATTGAGTAACAAAGACCTTTCTAACATACGATTCATTTTTTGTCATTTGCAAAGTATATTCATTTAGTTGGGTTTGTTTTGCATGATTAATTTTGACTGATAGCTGATTTGTTTTCTATTCTAGGTTGTGGAGACTAATTTGGTTGCTTTTGACTGTCACTGGATCATTATAAATGAGGTAAAGCCAACTAAACCTTATTGTTAACTCTGTGTCCTTTTTTCACATATATAATTGTAGCATTTCCAATGGCCTTGAATTTTTAAGCGGAAACAAAACTTGAAGTAAACATTCAACTTACTGAGTGAATGCTGTTTAACAAAGATAGAATGAAGAGTTTTTAAAAATGATAAAGGGTTTTATATTAATAAAATAAATGGAGAAAGTCTTTCTCACTGAGTCTCTTTTAGCTCTTTCTGTTGGCTCATTCTGCCTGCTCAAGGAGATCATCTTTATAAAAAGTACAGTTCTACTTTGTAAGCAAAGTAAACTCCTCCCAGTGGAGTGCTTGTGTTCCATTTATATTTTAATGTTGTTTCTAGAACTGTTATGTCCACCCTCCTTACATGAGTATTAAAAAGTTCAGCATATGAATATGAATAAACACAGAACAGATTTTTCCCTTTTCATAAGGAAGTACAACTGTTTTCAAATCTTTAGACTTGTCAAATTCTTGTGAAAGTCTTTTGATTTTTGCAAAGATAATACATAAGATTAAAAATATATTACAACCTAAAAGCCCTGGGAAATAAGTTGTTCCATTAGGACCTGCCAGTCAGAAATGGAAGGAACAATGAGCAGGTCAGTCATGGACAAATAATGTGATCACATACATTTTTCCTCAACAAGATGTAGTACTTGGTCATACCTATTATTTATGAATAAAAATAATGTAATATTTACTTATTCATTATACTAAATACAGAATTCTAGAATAATAAGATTTCTTTTAGGGACAAAATAGTATTTTTGGATAAGAATCCTGGTTTTATAGTCAGCAAGATAGGTTTGATCCTGGCTATAAAACTTGGTAGCTGTCTTAACATGGATATCAGCTTCCTGTGCCTCAGTTTATTCATTTGGACAAGTATAATAACAATTACTTTGCATGTTCATAATAAAAGTTAAATGAGGTATTATCAGGTGCTCTTAACACAGTGCTTGACAAATGACACACAAGAATGGTACTGCGATAATGATCATATCACGTTAAAATTCAGAGATCATTCCCTTATATATTATCTTATGGAATACTAAACCATATTCTCTGAAGTACTGAGGGAATGAGGTCCATAGAGAATAAATTATTTTCCTCTTTTTACACAGAAAAGTGAAAATAATTCCCAGTTTCAAGTTGTTTCTCCTACACTACACTTCAATGATGGAATGATCCTTTTTATTTCAGAGTAAAGACGCTGAAAACACCTTACAAGTCTGTTTTTGGTCTGCCAAACATTAGGTTTCTATGAATTTTAGCTGTATTTCTCATGTCAAAATAAGATAGGTTTTTCTGAGATTTCCTCAGGCAATACGTATCTGGAGGTCTGCTTTTCAATAAAGTTCTGGTACCTTCTAAGTTTCTAGTATGTCTTAATTTTCATGTGGAATAACTAAACGTTGGGATAGAGGGAAAGACAAAGGAAAAGGAACTTAATAAACCTTCAAATTAAATATTTTCATTTCAATTTTTCTCCAAGGAAACTAAGTTTCAAAGAAATTAAACAATTCAGCAAATATTACACAACTATTAGTGATGATAATGGAATTTAAAACTTAATCTTTTTCAGTGTAAAGCTTTGGTTGGTTTTGTTTTGTTTTTGTTTTGTTTTTAGCTTTTAAGTTCAGGGGTACGTGAGCAAGTTTGTATGTAGGTAAACTCGTGTCATGGGGGTTTATTGTACAGATTACTTTGTCACCCAGGCATTAAGCCTAGTGCTCATTAGTTATTTTTCCTGTTCCTTTTCTTCTTCCTACTCTCTTCCCTTCAGTAGACCCCGAAGTGTGTTGTTCCCCTCTTTGTGTCCATATGTTTTCATCATTTAGCTCCCATTTATAAGTGAGAACATGAGGTATTTGGTTTTCTGTTTCTGCGTTAGTTCGCTGAGGAAAATGGCTTCCAGCTCCATTCATATTTCTGCGAAGGACATATCATTCCTTTTTTGTGATTGCACAGTATTCCACAATGTATATGTGCCACATTTTCTTTATCCAGTGTACTGTTGGTGGGTATTTATGTTGATTCCATGTCATTCCTATTGTGAATAGTGATGCAATGGACATAGGCATGCATGTGTCTTTATGATAAAACAATTTATATTCATTTGGGTATATACCCAGTAATGGGATTGCTGGGTGAAATGGTAGTTCTGCTTTTAGGTCTCTGAGGAAATCACCAAACTCTTTTCCACAATGATTGAACAAATTTACACTCCCACCACCAACAATGTATAAACATTCCTTTTTCTTCACAACCATGCCAGCATCTGTTATTTTTTGACTTTTTAATAATAGCCATTATGACTGGTGTGAGATGGTATCTCATAGTGGTTTTGATTTGGATTTCTCTAATGATCAGCGATGTTGAGCTTTCTTTCATATGATTATTGATCATATGATGTATTATTTTGAAAAGTGTCTGTTGATGTCCTTTGCCCACTTTTAAATGGGGTTGTTTGGTTTTGCTTTAAATTTGCTTAAGTTTCTTGTAGAACTTAAGGATAAATAGACCTTTGACAGATGCATAGTTTGCAAAAATTTTCTCCCATTCTGTAGGTTGTTCACTCTGATGATAGTTTCTTTTGCTGTGCATAAGCTCGTTAGTTTAATTCAATTTTGTTTGTCGATTTTTGCTTTTGTTGCAATTGCTTTTGTCATCTTTGTCATGAAATATTTGCCCATTTATATGTCTAGGTTGTTTTCCAGGGTTTTTATAGTTATGGGTTTTACATTTAAGGTTTTAATCCATCTTGTGTTAATTTTTGTATATGGTATAATAAAATGGTCCAGTTTCAATCTTCTGCATATGGCTTGCCAGTTATCCCAGCAATCATTTATTATTAAAGGAAAGCGTCCTTTCCCCATTGCTTATTGTTGTCAGCTTTCTCAAAGATCAGGTAGTTGCAGGTATGCAGCCTTATATCTGGGCAATCTGTTCTGCTGCATTCATCTATGTGTCTGTTTTTGTACCAGTATCATGCTGTTTTGGTTAGTGTAGCACTGTAGTATAGTTTGAAGTCAGGTAGCATGATGTCTCCAGCTTTGTTCTTTTCCCTTAGGATTTTGTTTTTTGATACATGCTTTTTGATACATTTTCACTTAGAATTTTGTTTTTGACCATGAGAACAACATGATCACCCACTGTTTAAGGCTCAATTTGTACTTTGGGAGAAATAGCCTCTTCATATTATATAGGTGTAACCTGAATAGACTAGCATGTATTTAATTGGTAATAAATAAATATTTTTTGATAATTATCTTTATGGTTTATATTTTTGAAATTTCTACTGCCTCAGTTATAATCTGATGGGAGCTATTTATGTCACTAGCTTTTTTGTATTAATTATTTTCTAGATTACTTTTTTTGAAATAAGGATTCTTCTAATTTTTTGTTTTTATTTCACATCCTACTTTGGACAGGATATAGACTACACAGATTTCCTGATGCAAAACCAGCGAGAGTCATTTTACCTATTCATGTCAATCAACCTTACTAGAAAAATAAAGTGACTTCTTACCTCTTTAGAGAAATGGATTAATCTGGACAAATTAATGCTTACAATCACTAAATTGAAATGGCCATTCTCCTGTATTGGTTGATAAGATTGCAGAAGGAACCCCTTAATTAATTTTTTTTAATATCCAATTTAGCTTCCACAAGTATACCTGAACTTAAAAGTATAAACTGAAATAGAGCTTCTGAGAACAACATGGTCATTTACCCACTGTTTAAGACTCAATTTGTACTTTGGAAGAAATGGCATCTTCATATTGTATAGGTGTAGCCTGAATAGACTAGCATGTATTTCATTGGTAATAAATAGTATGGAAAAAATAATAAAAATTTATGTTTTATTGTATTTTTCATAAGCATTATGATTCATGTTTTTAAACTTATTAAATTTTATTTCATAAAATATTACAAATGAAAATATTGTCATTAAGTGGATGCTCCATAATTTGGGCCACTATTTTGCAAAATAAAACATCCATATAAACAAAGCAATCTCACTGGTAAATAACTCAATACATGTTAGAAGTCTAGGAGATAATTAAGGAGACCTCAATTATTTTCTTATCCTTCAAACTTAGGTTTTCTACTGTGAATTGTCTAATAAAACTTCACCATCACCATCATTGAAACCGTTATCTCTTTCTTACCCACAGCCCTACTTTCTTGTCTTCCAGCAGAGGTATAATTTCTTTTGGGCAAGCCACACTGCCTAGCCTCTTAAAAATACAATGTTCACAACCCATACCATTTACATTACACAGGTTAGCACTTTTATCTGAACAAGGTTAAAACTCAGATAATGAGCAAATGTTTTCTGTATTTTAACCCATAAAAAAATAAACAAAAACCATTATTGGCTGGTATATCCAAAATCAACACTCTTACTTTCAAATTATTCCATTCACCCGCATACTTATTCTCATTCATCCACTTTATTCTGAAATATGCCTCAGAAAATGACTTACATTTTTCTTGCACACTTTTCATTTACATGCTTGTTTATGGGAATTTATAATGGATGAATTATAATTTTCCCTAGTTTCTATAAAAGAAAAAAAAAACATGGATTTCTCAATATTGCTAGGAAGCTACTAAACTCTAAATGTAATAATAAAAAAAACCCTCAAAAGATGCAAATGCCCGTTTTGGCTGAACGTGGAGAACATGAATCTGTCTAGTTTTGTTTGTGTAGCTATTATTTTGTTGCTAATTTTAAAATGGGTTGCAGACATTGATTTAATCTTATTGCATCAATAGTTTTTAAAGGAGGGAATATAAATCAAAGTTGGCATTGTGCATCATGATAGAAATTAATGTAGAAACTTGAAAACAATATATTTTTTTCATTTGCATTAAGTGTGCTATAATAATGAGAGGCTGTGCTAGCTCATATGGTGTAATCAATCATATGTTAGTACTTGGTAATAGTATTTATCTTCTCCCCGCAATCAGTGGATCCAGCTCAGAGCAGCCTTTCCGTGCAAGTATTGTCATCCCTTCAGGGCCCTGAAGCAGATGGCTTAACACTTTATTTAAGTTTTACAAAAGTTAGAAATTCAGATAGGAAGACGTGCACTGTTCAGAGCTGCAAGAAGCACAATGCTTCATATACCCTTCTATTGCCTGATAATATCAAATATGACCTTTGTTGTCTTGATTGACTTTACTGGCTTTTTACTTAATTTGAATAGTGTAAGACATTATTCTCTGTTAATCACTGCTGAGTATTACATTTAATGAGAAAGTTGTTGGTTTGGTTTTTTGTTGTTTTTTTTTTCTTTTTTGACAGAGTTTTACTCTTGTCACCCAGACTGGAGTACAATGGCGCGATCTTGGCTCACTGCAACCTCTTCCTCCTGGGTTCAAGCGATTGTCCTGCCTCAGTCTCCCAAGTAGCTGGGATTACAGGGATGTGCCACCACGCCTGGCTAATTTTTGTATTTTTAGTAGAAATGGGGTTTCACCATGTTGGCCAGGCTGGTCTCGAACTCCTGACCTCAGGTGATCTGCCCAACTCAGCCTCCCAAAGTGTTGGGTTTACAGGCGTGAGCCACCGTGCCTGGCCAGTTTGGGGGGTTTTGTTGTTGTTTTGAGATTTAAAAAGCCTATATGTGTAATGGATGTTTTTAATTTTTTCTAGTTTAATGATGAATTGAACTGCTCACTTCTAAGCTTTCAAGTAGAAAGTTGCCATCCTGCTTCTCTTCCTGTTGGTACATAGCCTACAGTTGGATTTGTTCCATTTTTTAACATTTGCCTAATTGATTCATATTAATGTTAAATTTTATGGAAGCATCAAAGGGTCATCTTTGCTAAAATATGAAAAATACAAACAAATAAGAAACAAACACCACATAGTAGAGGGCTTAATCTTAATACTAAAATCTTCTTTATTTAGAATTGTTTAACATTTTAAAGTATTCTGGTGTCTAGAATTAAAATTTCAGGTATAAGTCTTTAGAAGATGATAAAATCTTACCATTCATTCATTAAATAAATTTTGTATTTATCAACATTTATTGAATACCTACTATAAGCCAAAATATTTGTTAGATGCTAAGAGGTATAAGAATGGGAAAAAGGAAACTATTCCTCTGAAATTGTTATTTTTAGTCTAAATTGGCATCTGATCCAATGGATTTTGAGAGTCTTTTCTTCCCACAATCTTATTCATTTCAACCTAAAGCTGATATACTACAAGGATTCAGAAATGATTCAATTCTCCTAAGAGATTTCTTCTGGGAAATGGCTGTTTCTAGATGGAGTTGTATCCCCAGAAGATATTTTAGCATTCCTTTTTTCTTCCTCGGGGCTTTCACAGTTCAGGATTCAACCGACATTAAATTATTAAAGCAAAGTGAATAAGAATATTTTGTCGGACATATTGACTTTGATTCTTAGTAGTTTTCAAGTATCTAGGTAAATTATTTTTGGGAAAAAAGGCTTCCTTAGCCTAAATAAGTAAAATAGAAAAGTTAAGTCGCTAAAAAATACTTAATCATTTGTTATTGCAATGTTAATTCTACTTTTATGAATATACTCAATAAAATAAAGAATATAAGAAGGAAAATAATTTTATAATTTGGGTTCTTTAAATTACTTAGAGCTCAGGAATACTCTATATCTTTTAAAAGATTAAGATATTTAATGGTGCTGGGGGCTTGGGAGAGTGAGTGCTTTATTGGTAAACTAGTTCTTCACATGATTATTTTAAAAAATCTGACAGTTTAAACATTTTTTAAAAAATTCAGAGCATTAGGATAATATAGATCCTAGTACATTGTATAACATTTTAATACACAAGTTTATTTCTGGACTTTTTTCCATTTAAATGGATCTCTTTATAGATTAAATGATCACTTGTCTTTCAGTGTTTATATAACTTTGCATCTGCCACTCTCGAAATGCCCCTTTTGAAATGCGCAAGTAAAGTTCCGTAAATATAAAATAGCTGCCTAATCAAGTTTTCATATCACTGTTAAACTGTTTTTGAGATCACATGTCAAGACTAAAATTGCAAGTGAATTTTTTGAGACAGATTGTCTGTTAGTTTCTTTCAGAATGACAGATTCTTTCTTCCCAGAAAATTACTTTCTCTTCCCTTCCCCAAATAATAATAGGCAAAATACACTCAATTCAAACTGACATTTCTTCAGATATATTTTAGTTGTTTAGGTGCCTGAGAACTTCATCTTTGGAAACCTATAAAAGGTAACCACCCCTTTTCCCTTTTTGTGGGTTTGAAAAATGTCCTCTTAAAGGATTTGGCTCATGATAGATGACTACATCATTCCTTCCAGAATCATCAGGAAATTAAATGCTGAAATAATGTATCTTTACAGTTTTAATTTCTACCATTCATAAATATTAATCTAAATAATTCCTGTAAGGAAATATGGGCATGTATAACTTCTTCAGAGACTGTTTCTTTTGATGACATTTATAAATTCATCCTATGAGTAGAGTATTATGAATGAAGAGCTTCAAGTCTTCCTGAATCTTTGTTTATAAACTGAGAATAAATAGCATCTGATTCAGAGTATCATCTGTTAGCAGAAAATGAGATAATAAAGTAATTAGTATTTTGCTTAACATATAGTAGATACTTATTAAATGTGAATTTTTATCCAATATGCTGATTTGTAGTTCATTATGAGTGGTGTAGATAGAGATGCTGCTGTTTGATAAAATGTTGATAAATCTTAGTATTGCTAAAGCAAAAAAAAATACCATATACATAAAACAACTTAGTTAATGTTATGAGAAAAGTCATACAATTTTCCACTGCCTTCAAATGAAAGTTCCTGTCTGTATCATTTGGAATTTAAAAAATTGGAAGACATTGAATAGCAATATTAATATTAATTAACTTTAAAAGATGTCTGGTTAAAATCAGGACTTCAAATGGAGTTGACAGGATACCGTTTAATCCTACTTTGTGAGTAGATTACATAGAATTTAAAAGTGACCTGCTCTTTGACAGACAAAGTTTTTGGTGGCCAGTGAAATGACACAGACTAAAGGAAAAAGACGGCATTTTAAACTGAGAAAAACCATTTTTATGGAACATTAAGGATTGATTAAATGCCCAGAAATCCAGGCTATTACACTAGAGCTAGCTGATGGGAGGCATCATTTTATTTTCAGAAAAATCTACACTTCATAAAGATCATATATAAAGGACGATTTTTGAATCTAACATATGCTACAAGAATAATATGTAATTAATCTGGTAAGAAAAAAAGAACATTTACACCTATGAATTATCTGTTTTCTTTCATTTTTTTTGTAATAATTTCTTAGATCAAACCTCAGAAATGCTCACTGCAACCCAAAACTTATTTTGTTTCCCATCTTTTATTTCTGTTGCCGTAAAAATTGATTGAAACCAATAGTATGTTAATTACAAAGACTTCATTCGTTGTAAAGGTTCCAAATGAACACTATTAAGCACCAACTTCTCTAGTAAAGACTACCTTAAAACTAAAATTTATTTTAATCACTTTTATCCTAATTCCATTTAGAATAGATAAAATTTGTTTAGATAAAATTAATTTAGATAAAGAGCACTGGGTTTCTCTCTCATCTCATCCTGATTCAGATTGTATTAAACAACAGAATTTTTCATCTATTCCTTACCAAGAGAAACATACGAGTTAACATCAACAATTCTAATAAATTATTAGAAAAACTTATATATCCTCTTGCTCTACTTGCCTCAGTTAAAAGCCAAATTTTTCATTGCTAATTATGTGTGTGTGTGCATGTGTGTGTGTGTATGTGTGCGTATGTATGCATGCGTATGTGCGTGTGTATAACTCTTACATGGCAATTACCTTCCTAGATACTCAAAGTAATAGTATTAATTAATAATAAACTATAATAGCAACTTACTTTGTGACCTTTTTAAATGTTTTGACCACACCTATGTTTCTACAATGTTCAACATTATAAATTATAAACTTATTGTTAATAACCATATGTAAGACAATTGCTCCATTTAGCATTGTTTAGGCACTAATGTATATAATTTAAAGCATAGAAAGCAACTACAAATGAGTTGATAATTTTAACAAAAATATGTTGCTTTCATTTAGATATGCACTAAGCATTAAAACCAATATATTACAGTAACAGAATCCCTAACATTTACAGATAACAACTCATAATAGGTTTGTGTTTTGTGACTGTATTAAAGTATCTCTAATTCTTCCACCTCTTATCTTATAGGAAATAAACGATGTGGACGTACAGGAACTTGTAAGAAGGTCAATTGGAAGGTTAACGATTATTCGGCAGACATTTCCAGTTCCCCAGAACATAAGTCAGCGGTGTTTCCGTGGCAACCATCGAATATCTTCAACATTGTGTGATCCAAAGGATCCATTTGCTCAGAATATGGAGGTATATTATAAATGACAGGATATTTCTTCCAGGGTGCTTTGTTGGGCAATTGCAAGGAGAGCTTTATGAGTTGCATTGGATTCAGAATTATACGTGTTATTTCTGAACAATTCTCCTCCAGCAATTTCATAAGTCTAATGGGGAGAAAGTGCTAAGAATTTGCGTCTTTGTTCTTTTTGATCTCATTATAGAAAAATTTCTACTTGCTTAATAAAAAAATATAATAAGTAAAGGTTATTTTCTTCTAAACAAGTAGGTCCATAACATTTCCCACAGGAGAATTTGTAATTGGTACTCCTTTTTCCAAACTCTAAATTATTAAACTAATAAATGTGCTTGACTTTTCTGGCCTAAGAAGGACATAGATATTTATTCTTTTTAAAAAGATTGGTCTCCAGTTTGAATAACTCCAACAAAAAAAATTAGATATGAAAAAAGTGCTGTAGAATTGTATGGTCATATCCAACTCCGAGAGGATATAGCTGAAACCTTCAGCATCCAGAATACAACAAAGAATTTGAAAGATATAAATAAAACCTCTGAACAGCGAAACAGAGAACACCAAGTCCCTGTAGCTTACTCATAAGAATGCCCTTTAAATACTTACTTGAAGCCTATTTCTTTTTCTTAAGAAAAAGCCTCTGTGGTTTTTTTTTCACTTTGCTCTGGAGATCTCAATATGTCAATCTGAAGGGGGTGTTACACAAAGCAGGCACACAGGACAACAGCAGGGAGCCTTAAGGAGCCCTCTTAAGCAAGAGACGGGAAAAAAATCAATCAGATAAACTAACTCATATAACCTGTCAGTATAGGACTCTTCCTGCAAAAACAAATCTGTGCCATAAAACAACTCCTAAAGGTATCACTGCAGTATAATGCTAGCATATAAGTTAATATTTAAACAATAACCCTGAGATATTAGCAAATATTAAAGTCATGGCCAATCTTAGAAGTAAGCAAAACCTAATATATTTTAGAAACTTGTTCTTTAAAATATTTACCATAGGAAACATTTTAGTACTTAGAGATTTTCAGTTTTAACAGTTTGGAAATATAACCCTAGGAAAACTAGTTCCTCTCTAATAATACTAGATAAATAAGGTGCTTTTGCAAAACTAATCTGAAAAATAACCCCACAACCTCCCTATCCTTAGTCACCTTTGAATTTTTAAAAAAGGATTTGCCATTTATCCAACCATTTCTTCTAATTACTATCACTGTAGTACGTGGACTGGCTCCAGGATCATTACCCTGTAACTTTCTGTTGCCTACTAGATTTTAAGCTCCTTTAGAATAGGTCCTTTCCATGGCCAGGTGCAGTGGCTACACCTACAATCCCAGCAATCTGGGAGGTCAAGGGGGAGAATCACTTGAACCCAGAAGTTTGAGACCAGCCTGGGCAGCATGGCAAAACCCCATCTCTGAAAAAAATAATAATAATAATTAGCCAGGTGTGGTGGTATCCTCCTGTAGTCCCAGCTACTCAGGAGGCTGAGGTGGGAGAATCACCTGAGCCCTAGAGGTCGAGGCTGCAGTGAGCCAAGATTGTGCTACTGCACTCCAGCCTCCAGCCTGGGTTTCAAAGTGAGTCCCTATTTCAAAATAAATAGATATGTCCCTTCAAGAACCCAGCATCATAAGTACTCATAACGTGCTTCTCTACCATTTCCTCCATCATAATTACCACAGTGCTTTGGATCTGTGTGAATATATATGTTTGAATGTAATTAAGGAGAAGGCAATAGTCAAAGTAAATCTTCTGAAGCCTTAACAACATCTCTTTAAATTTCAGTTCCACCCTTATCTATATGTGTATTAGTTCATTCTCACACTGCCATAAAGTACAGGGAAGAGGTTTAATTTACTCACAGTTCCTCAGGGCAGGGAAGCCTCAGGAAACTTACATTCATGGTGAAAGGGGAAGCAAACATGTCCTTCCTCACATCGCAGCAGGTAAGACAAGTGCTGAGCAAAAGGTGGAAAAGCCGCTTATAAAACCATCAGATCTTGTGAAAACTCACTACTATCATGAGAATAGCAAACGGATAATCATCCCCATCATTTGATGACCTCCCACCAGGTCCCTCTTATGATACATGGGAATTATGGGAACTACAATTCAAGATGAGATTTGGATTGGGACACAGCCAAACCATATCAATATGCTTATAATGTCCCATGTTTGCATTTTAACTGGTCATGGATATAATTGATGTGAAAATGATAGAATTCTAAATAGAAAAAAAGGAAAGAATTTTGATTTAGAAAATTATAAAATATTAAAAGTTGTGTTTGTTAAAAGAAGTATCAGGAAATGAAATACAAACTTAAGAAAAATTATTGACTGTGTCATTTAGGGACAGCAGAAATTATTTTACAGCATATTTGCCTAACAACATAATCTTTCCATTTCAGTTGATGAGGACTTCAATATCTGTGAACAAATATTTTATTTATGTCTATATTCCTAATCTTACCTGAAACAATAAAGTATGGGGAAGCACCAACTTCCTCCTGACTCATACCTTCATCTTGGTCCTGTCAAACCCACAGATGGAAGAAAACAAGAAAACTACTTTTGCGTTGAGGATTTGTTACATGTGAACATCCCTCTTATGTATGATAGAATTTGATCTCTAGACTGTTACCTATTTTAATATACATAGACAGAGAAGTAAAATTTAGAAAAAACAGAAAATGCATTTCACAAATTTTTTAATTAGTGTCCAAAGACTGAAACCCAGGATTAGCTTAAGTTGCAAAATAAATATTAAAGAACACCTTTTAGCTAGAAAATGGTGTTTTTGCAACATATGTAACAAGCAGGAAGTGATCCATTTACTGCTTAGTGGAACTAATGTTAGTTTGGCTGCTAATGGAGAGAAAACAGAAACATTCTAATACTTTTGCTCCTTTCTCCATCTAAGAAAAATTGTCTTCAAATTGGGAAGGTTAGAGTAAAATTCATTAAAAGAAAATATTCCACTGGTTCAGAAGGAGCAGGGAGATAGCAAGAGTAGGGGCACTGCTTTGAATTAGGCTTGCCAAATAATTGCTCAGAGTAGCCAATCAGCCAGCAGGAACGATCAAAATATGATAGCTCAGAAATACTGGAGAAACACTTAGGAAGAGGACCAAGGTACAAGAGATTGGTGTATTGTCCCAATTACTGAAAGGAAGGAAAAAAGATTCTCATGGAGTTTAGCATATTAAATGTTACTATGTAGATAAACTGTAGAATATATTATTAAATCAATGGTTTGGAGTACCTCAGATAAGACAACAGGGCTTCCTTAAAAACAAACACTGCCAAACTAAGCCTTTATTTATATATATATATATTTTTTTAGATTGGGAGAATGTCATAAATCTATGTGTTACATGTTGATTTTTATGTGGTGTTTGACAAATTTTTACCTGAAATCCTTAGGAAAGATATTGAAAAGTCTTGACAGAGTGATGACACTGAAACATTTTCACCAAAGGGTTCCTAAAGGCAGAAGATAGTGAACACTCTGGCCTCAGACAGAAAGCAAAATAAAGCTCAAAAATATTTAAGTCTCATTATTACCTTTAAAAGTTATAACATTTGTGTATATACAATTAAAAGTAATACTTCAAATTATTTGCCAATTAAACTAGTTGTTTTTCTCCAAATATTCAAACAAAATTGATATCTAAATAAATCAATCAAATCTTCAAGCAATATTGATATGACTAGAATATGCCTTAGATGTATTCGGTGGCTTTGAGTACTTCCTGATATCCACAACCTACCACCAGGGTTTCTTTTGTCCAGAGTTTGAGGATTGTAGAACCAGATGAATATTCAAACTGCAGTGATAAACATTCTATTCCTGAAATGCAAGGAACTGTCTATGGTCATTCACAAGATTCTATTCTTGGACCTAATATTTTTAAAACGTCTATCACTACGTGAATGAAGATGAATAAAACATGCCTATCAAATTTGTAAATGGCATAAAGCTAGAAGAGAAAGCTTATGTTGTATTAGATAATCAAGTTCCAAATTGTTAGTGTTGACTGAATAATAAGCCTAAATTTGAAAAAGCACAGATAAAGTATAGGTTCAAAATCAATTACATGAAGAATCCTGGTTTGACAGCTGTTCAGATCCCTTAAGTTGAAGGTAAATTCAGTGTGTGTATCACACAAATCATATTTGCTGTAACTATTTTAATATAATCGTGGTCTCTATGTCAGAAGAATTTTGCTAAGATAAAGAGATCTAATGTCTTACACTATTCTCTCCTAGTCAGATCACATCTGTAATAATGTGTCAATTCTGGATACTAAATTTTTAACAGAAACATTGAAACACAAGAGAAAGACAGAGAAAGAGAACTAAGATGATCAGCCTAGAAACGATACCAGGTGATGAAAACTAAAAGAAAGATATCTCAAAGCAAGCCACAGATGGTGTCAAATATTGAAAGCTTGTCATGTAGAGGAGGTGAGTGTGGAGATTTGGTGATGTCAAAGAATAAGTGTAGTGCCAGTAAGGTAGGGAGAAATGATTGGTCATATGTGACATACTGGAGTCTATGATTTTAGAGGTGATGTATGTTTCTGTCCAGTAAATGGTCATTTGTGTTGGTTGAGGCCTAAGTAGAAGTGAAGATCATCTGTACAGAAATTGAAGTGACCTTTTAAAATGATGAGAGATAGTTTGGTATTATTGTGAAGGAGGAGTCAAAGGCCTTACAAATAAAATAAAATTACCAAAAGATCAGTTAATGATGACAGAAAAAAGCAATAAAGTGTAGCATAGGAAAGAGTGTGAAGCTCAAAGAATGGGCACTTGCCTGCAAAAGAAAAAGTGTCAGATTAGGAGGGGTAATGAAAAGCTCAGGGAATATTACCACCACTTCTTGATCCTGCAGTTTGGAATGTGGACAAATGAGGAGACGTAGTCATTTATTGAAAATGCCTGTCATGTAACAGGTACGAAGCACTCACCTTTAAGACTAGCATAGATGCTCAAAATACATGCCTCACGGTCTGCAAAAGAGAATGTGCCCCAGCAGTGTCAGGTTTGGATAGAACCCAGGTTACCAGATTTTTCGTGTCTCAACGTCTGCCAAACACACCTAGCTTTAAAATTGACTTTCTTTTTTTCTCCTCTCTCCATCCTTCGTCTTCTTTTACTTCACAACTGTTTATCAAAACCCAAATATGTGCGAGGCTCTAGGCTAAGTCTTAGAGAAATAAATTACGGGGAAAAATGGAAGAGAAAAGATGTACAGTATGAGTCCCCATCCAGGAGGAATTTATTTTTTTGTGGAAAAGGTAGATTTAAAAAAGAATTTAGTATTCTGATATGTTTCAAAGACGTATGCACTGTGTGTTCCGGTAGATGAAAAGAGGTGCTCAACCTTGTGTAGGATAAGGAAAGAAAATCAGAAGTTGGCAGGGTAGGATTCTCCTAGCATGTAAGCTTTGAACCAAATATTGAGAAATGTTAACTAGTTGGAGAAAGGTAAGGAGATAGTGAGGGATGCTACCCCAACAATCTTTTTTTTAAATATATATATATATATATTTTTATTATACTTTCAGTTCTAGGGTACATGTGCACAATGTGCAGGTTTGTTACATACGTAAACATGTGCCATGTTGGTGTGCTGCACCCATTAACTTGTCATTTACATTAGGTATATCTTCTAATGCTATCCCTCACCCCTCCCCCAACCCCACAACAGGCCCCGGTGTGTGATGTTCCCCATCCTGTGTCCAGGTGTTCTCATTGTTCAATTCCCACCTATGAGTGAGAACATGCGGTGTTTGGTTTTTTGTCCTTGTGATAGTTTGCTGAGAATGATGGTTTCCAGCTTCATCCATGTCCCTAAAAAGGACATGAACTCATCATTTTTTATGGCTACATAATATTCCATGGTGTATATGTGCCACATTTTCTAAAGACACATGCACACGTATGTTTATTGCGGCACTACTCACAATAGCAAAGACTTGGAACCAACCCAAATGTCCATCAATGATACCCCAACAATCTTAAATACACGTTCACCAAAGGGAAGAGTAAAATAAAGCTAGAAAAGTAAAAGGAAGCAAGTTTCAGGCAGTAGAACCAGGAGGGGTTAGGAAAGGCCAGAAGGTTGTGTATTATTTTGATTTCCCTGGGCATGTATCCTTCATGTAACTTCTATATTTTCCTGTTGGGTCTTTACTGCCTAATTCCAACCTGAATGTTGATTCATGGACTAGTTTTAGCTGTATAGCAGACTTCAGCCATTCTTTTGTAGTCTATCTAGTAATTATCAGGCAAAATGGGGAGTGGCTGGGATAGGGAGTGAAAATAGCCAGTCCTAATACTTCCTTATGAAGGACAAACTTGTATTGCACGTAATGCATTGAGTGTTCAATGTCTCTTCAAAAAAGGCCTACAAGTATTATACATATAAAATGATATTTAACAAACACAAAGGATTGAAGATTTACATGGTATGTAAAAGAAAACTCACAAGGCACTGTTAGGAAGTTCTTATTAAAAGCTGTGCATTGCATCAGACTCTAATTATCTCAATAGCCAAAGCTTAGTACCATCCTGTGATGTGGGTAGACTATTTTAAAAATTTCCTCCATGATTAATTATAACCCGAGGACAATCCATATAGTCTCCTGTATGTTTTTAGGAAAAACCGTGATAACAATATACTTTCAAAAATCTGAAAAACACAAATGCTTTAAGATGGAATTAATTTTCATCACTACATTGATTCCTCATTTTTTTTATTTTATATAGAGTTTTTCCTTCAGAGGAAATATAACATGAAGCAGCTTTTATTGACCTAGGATTCCTTTTGGTATTATGTTTTCCAAAAAATTTTTAACTTCTTTGAAAAATAAGCACCTTTGGTGATTAATTGACAGTATAAATAGTAGTTCTGGTGAAACTTAATTGTAAGAATACAGTAAAACCTTAGCAAAAAATTGGCTATAATTTATTTTTCAATCTATGTAGAAAGAAGTTAATAACATGGTTGTTTCAGAAGAAGAAAGTATTAATGTAAACACACATTCACAAACAGTTAATAGTTTATGGTATTTGTGAAATCAATGAATTGTAATGCATGTGTATACCTGTATAATTTTGTATAGATCCTTGATCACTATAATACATATAAAAGATTGTGTTCTTTCATTATTTCATTTAAGAATCTCCATATACACAAAAATACACACAGTAGACTACTTCTTTTTTAGGTACCTATGACATTCATATATGAAATCAAGTTGATATTTTTCCATCTGAATAACTAGAATGCAAAAACTTAACATATTCAGAAAATGTATTATTCAGTTTGCCCTTCCAATCTTAAACCCTTAGATTCTTACCTCCTCAGAGAGAAATAAGGGCCAATGATTTTCTAAGGTCTAACACTAACAGCCTTATCTCTGTCGAAATTTCTTTCTTTCCTTTTTTAATCTTCTCTTTCACACCTAAATAAGCTGAAAAAGCAATTGAGGCATACAATCAGACAAGACTTCATTCTCAATGACAAAATTGCCCAGGAAATGACAAAAGAAACCTTCTGCTTAATAACCCAGTAAACCAGCCATGTATGACATGAACAGAAGCAGTTGAGACAATTATTTTTTTTCCTTATTCCTGATGACTGGTGTCAATGATTCTAATGATCACTTTCTAATGTCTTTTCAGATTTCCAACCTTTACATATATGACACGGTGCTTCTGCTTGCTAATGCTTTTCATAAGAAGCTGGAGGACCGAAAGTGGCACAGCATGGCAAGTCTGTCATGTATCAGAAAGAACTCAAAGCCCTGGCAGGGTGGGCGCTCCATGTTGGAGACCATCAAGAAGGTAACTTCTTAATTTTCATGTAAAAAGGATATGGTAAATAATTATTTGACATATTTTAGAAAAAGGGTTTCCTCTTTAATATTTCTACAAATTCTAAGCACAAAACAGTGTAATGGGGAAATTAAATATTGAAAAAGAAAAAAGGTGAGAGAGTCATCAACATATAAAAAGGGGAGGCTTCCTTATTTATTTATAAGGGAGTTTTAAGCAAGTAAAAAAAATTGTGGTTGAGATATACCCACTTGACTATGTCATTAGCATTAGAGATACTGAAATTGTTTTGGTGCCTGTCGCAAAATACAAAAGGCTTTTAAAAAAACACACGCCATCCACTAAAAAAATTAACAGTAGACTTAATTAGCACTTTTTCAGTTAGATAATATACATGGTAAGACACTGGATGTGATGGCCTTTAATTTATCTCATGATAAGGATAGGATTCATAAGTAGATAATATGTTGCAGCATTTGTGAACTATTTGGGGTAACTGATTGCATTATTCCTCTTCACTGTCCATGTGTTGCTTATTCCAGCTGTGAATCTGTTTGGCTTAGCTACCTGTTCCATTCCCAGAAGGCAGTTTATGTTGTTTAGCTCCTCTCAGTGGTATAAGCATTCTGCAGTTTATTAGACTCTTTGTCATGTCATCCTTCTTGACATTTTCCATTTGTCTTGTACCGCCTCTTGGATTTAAAATGAAATGATTAATAAAACAAACAAATTCTCCTATACCCTTTACACAAAGGAGACAGACATTTGGAAGTTTATATTCTGTATTTTACCCATCCTTTTTCTTTCTGCATGTATTTTCCTTTCTTTCCTGAAACCCAAAGAAAAATAGCTAGTCAATTGAAATATAAATGCCCTTAAAAAGTCAGAGTAAAATATAAAACTTTAATATTAGAAGTGAACTAGGTGTACAAAAACTAGAAGTAGAGGAAATAAATATTTTAAATAGAGAATAGCCTGGATCTTTCTCTTGGTACTTGTATCAGTCCCTTTTCTGCTGTTCTAACTGATTACCACAAATTGGGAAATATATAAAAAATGGAAGTTTTTTGGCTTATGATTCTCAAGGCTGGGAAGTCCAAGACCATGGCACCCACATCTGGAGAGGGTCATCTCATGGCAGAAGAGCATCACATGCTGAGCAGCTGCACAAGATAGAGCGAAAAAGGGGGCCAAGACTTCCTGGATAACTAATCCACTCCCATTATATGGGCATTAATCTATTTACGAGGTGGCATCCTCATGATCTAATCACCTCAATGTCCCTATCCTTAATACCATTGCAATAGCAATTAAGTTTCAATGTGAGTTTAGGAGGGGACACTAAAATCATAGTATTCCATCCTTTGACCCCCAATATTCACGTCCCGCTCACATATAAAATATATTCATTCTATCCCTATAGTTCCAAAAGTTTTAACTTGTTTCAGCATTAACTCAAAAGTCCACATTTCAGAGTCTTATTTAAATCAGATATGGAAGAGACTCACATGATTCATCATGACGCAAATTTCTGCCAGCTGTGAAACTATGAATTCAAAACTGATTATCTACTTCCAAAATGCAATGGTGGGACAGTCATAGGATAGACATTTCTATTCCAAAACAGAGAAATAGGCAAGAAAAGAACAATAACTGGTCCTAAGTAAGTCTAAAACCCAACACGAAAAATAATATTAAGTCATAAAGCCGAGAAACAATATCCTTTTACACCATGTCCTCATTTCTGGATACGCTGAGACAGGGATTGGGCCCGCAAGGCCTCAGGCAACCCTGCTCCCAGGGCTTTGCTGGACCCAGCTTCTGCAGCTTTCACAGGTTAGAGTCACATGCTGTTTTAGTCCTACAGTTCTGTGGTCTTAGGGATGGTCCCACTTCCATAGCTCCAGTAGTCATTGCCCTAGTGGAAACTCTTTGTGGCAAGTCCAAACCCACATTTTTACTCAACATTGTCTTAGTACGGGCTCTCTGTGGTGGTTTGACCCTGGAGACAAGTCTCTGCCTGAGTCTTCATGCTCTTTGTGACATCCTTGGAAACTTTAGTGGAGGAATCCATAGCCAGAGTTCTTACACTGTATGCCTGAAGGTGTAACACCATATTGATGATACCACAGCTTACTACTTGCACTCTGCAGAATGACAGCCCAAGCTTTACCTGGGTCCACTTGAGCCACAACTAGGGCAGGTGAAGAATGTTACACTGGAATAAGGGGAGAAGAGTTGCTAGGTGGCCCTGGACAGGGAGCCCATGATGAGTGCCTTGGGCATATCCCCTGAAATCATTTTGCCTTCCGAGAGACTGTGAGGGCAGCAGCAGCTTCAAAGACTTTTGAAATTCCTTTTAAATCTTTCTCCTATTGTCCTGATAAATAGCACATCGCTCCTTTGTAGCCATGTTAATATCTTTAGCAAATAGTACTTGACTGCACCCTTGATATTCTCTCCTGAATATTATATATATATAATTTTTTTTGACAGTCTCGCACAGGCTGGAGTGCAGTGGTGCAATCTCAGCTCACTACAGCCTCTGCCTCCCGGGTTCAAGTGATTCTCCAGCCCCAGCCTCCTGAGTAGCTGGGACTACAGCCACATGCCACCACACCTGGCTAATTTTTTGTATTTTTAGTAGAGACGGGGTTTCATCATGTTGGCCAGGCCGTTCTTGATCTCCTGACCTCATGATCTGCCTGCCTCAGCCTCCCAAAGTGCTAGGATTACAGGTGTGAGCCACCATGCCTGTCCCTGAACATAGGTTTTCACTCTTTACATAGCCACCCTGTAAGTTTTTCAGATTTTTTGTCTGCTTCTGTCTTTAATATAAAATCTATCTTTAAGTCGTTTATTTTTCTCACATCTTATTATGTTATGTACAGGTAAAAGTAGCCAGGCAGAAGCCTGAATGCTCTGCTGTTTAGAAATTTCTTCAACCAGATATTCTAGTTCATTGCCCCTAAGTTCTGAATTCTACAAAGTCCTAGAATATGGCCACAATTCAGCCAGGGTGTTTGTTACTTTACAGCAAGGATGGCTTTCAATCCAGTTTCCAATACCCTATTACTCATTTCTGTCTGAGACCTCACCAGAATGTCCTTTTCTCTCCGTATTTTTATGAGTATTCTGGTCACAACAAATTAAATAAACTCTTAAGAAGATTCAGACTTTCTCTACAGCTCTCCTCTTCCAAGTCCTCACTAGAATTGTTCTTAAAGCTCTATTCACAGCAGTACAGTTTTTTTGCTAGTCTGATCCTTCAAATTCTTCAAGCCTCTACCTTTATGCAGTTCCAAAGTCACTTCCACATATTCAGGTATTTATTATAACAACAGCTCCACTTATTGGTACCAGTTTTCTCTCTTGATTTGTCTTCTGCTGCTAGAATACCATGGACTTCGTAGTTTATTAAGAACAGAAATTTATTTGGCACACAGTTCTGGAACTGGGAAATCCAAGGGCTTGGAGCTGGCATCTGATAAGGGTTATCCTAGGTGAAAGGACACCACATGGCAAGCAAGCGCATGAGACAGAGACAAAAAGGGGACCAAACTCTTGTGACAATTAACCCATTATAGTTATTAATGCAATAACAGCATTAATCCGTTCATGAAGGCAAAACTCTCATGATCTATTTATCTCTTAAAGTTTCTACTTCTCAATACCATTACAATGGCAATTGCATTTCAAGATGAGTTTTGGTGGGGATTTCAAACCATAGTAATGCTGTGTCTTCTTTGCCAAGGATAATTTTAATGAGAATTTTGGCTGTTATCAACAAAAGTACTTGAGAATTAAATGTATTGAATATATTGGCAGAGAAAGACTTTTCAACTGAAAAATGAATAAGTCTAATCTAGCCTCAAGGTGTTGCCAAAATCTTCCAGCCTTATCTATGTAGAGAGCTGGCAGGTATAAATCCAAGGGAGGTTGTTGAACATGATTCTAATCCTGCCAATTTATTAATTCATGGTTTGGCTAGGATGCAGGATCCTGAATATATTTCTTCTTCTGAAGCTTTCATACCAAGACAAAATAATAGTTTAGGAGGTTGCTTAGAAAACACTTTAGTGAGAGGATCAGGAGGAAGGAAAGAGAGACACCATAATATGTCAGTATTTTTCATGTAGAAATTCAATATGTAAGATATTGCTGTTAGAAAATTTATAACCAAAACAATTATTTAATACAATAATTATGAAATTTTATTTTGTGGGACTATGTGTACATTTGTCCCTGTCAGCTTCTGCCCCAGTGTCACATTTTAAAGAAATATATCCATTCTTTGTGTCAAGAAACTCAGTTTGAATAATGTACATGATTACAAATGTTCAATTTTATATTTTTGTCTCACATTTCAAACTGACTTTAAAAATGGATTTTTAGAAAAAAAAATTGGATTACTTTTTGCATCATATGAGTGTTTTTGGTCACCTATTTAGATGTCAATGCTGGTGATACTCCACACATTAAGTGAGAAAGAAAGTTCATTACTCACATAGAGACTCCCAAGAAGAGCAGAATGGCCCCAGACAGATTCAGGCTGGTTTGGACAAAACAGAGGGAGTGGCCTGGGCCTTTTTGTTGACTAGGGGTTAGGGCTGGCAAAAGGTTCCCACTCATGCGGGCTGGAGATTTGAGAAGCTCAAGTTTCCTACAGGTGTCAAATAAGTAGATGTAGGATGGCCTTTCTTAATCAGACTGTACAGATGTGGGGCCAAAGAAAGGGAGGGTAAGGCTTAAAAAGAAGTCAGCAGCCAGCAACACAAATGAGGTCAGGCTCTTTATTATGATGGGAATATTCTAGTGTTGAAATTTTTAATTACATTCAAATAAATACAAAATGCCTATATTAAGGGCACGCTACATACACATTAAAAATCCGTGTGCTGCTGCACAAAGTACAAGCAAGAAGAGAACAAGTTTCTCTCCCTAAATTAATTTCTATTCTTATTATGGGGAATGAAACAAAAGAATTAAAAATAATGTCATTGACATAGTAGTATAAATGTCTAGTAATGGGCAAGGTTTCTGTTTCTCAGGTACTCTTGTGTACCTGAGCTTTATAATATATGAATCGGTAGAATAAGTGCCTCCTCATTTTCATTCTTTTTTTAAAAATTAGCAGTTAATGCTTGCCTGTTTATTCCTGCCAAATATTATCAGCAGCCCTGTGCCATTGTTATTTACGTGGATGTTGTATGATATTTTTGAAGGAATTATAGTTTTAAAAATATTGAGTCTTTCCATCTATAACATGGCATCTATCCATATAGTTAGCTTTTTGTAATCCTGATTAAAGATTTATAGTGTTCTTCACACATATTTTCATTCTATTTATTTCTAAACTTTAATAGGATGTGTGTGTATGCGTGTGTGTGTGTGTGTGTGTGTGCATGCTATCATAAATGAGATATGTTCCATTAGATTTTCAAACTGGTTATTGTAGGTATTAAAGGAAGATATTGATGTTTCATATATTTTTTGACTGACCTGATCAACTTTCCAAACTTAATTACTGGTTCTCTTGTATTTTTCAAATATACATTGATATCACTGTCAAATAAAATTAATCACTCCAATTCTAATACTTTACGTATTGGCATAGACTTAAAAAGCAGCATGCAACAAGTATACTCTTAAACATACCAGGAGCATTATCTGAAAAGAGGATTTTTAAAAATTTTGTAAAGAAAGTATTCTTCTATTTTTGTTTTATTATATTATGTAATTAAGTTGTTTTTATTAGTAACTTGTACAGTTATAGAGTAGCAAGTCACAATAAAGTTAATCTAACCTTTTTATTCTATTTTTAGGTGTACAGAACCGAAATTCAGAAAAATTAAATGATGTACTAAGTGTTGCGTAGCTAATTAGTTTTAAATACCAGGTTTTTTGGTTTCTAATTTGGTGTCTGTGTACTTTACCATTTACCATTTTTCTTGTTCATGGCAATCATTTTTATTCACTCCTGTCAAAGTCACTTGGCTAAACATGCACACCAAGAAATCATGGGAATAAACACCCTCAATTAATATTATATAAACCCTATTTAAGTTTTAATATGGCTTGTTTTTCAGTCTTTAGTTTATTATGACAAGTTACATTGTTGTAGCTTCTCATGAAAACTATATTTATATATTGGGAAAGAGTTTTCATGTAGTATAATTTAATTTGTTAGTGTTATGTAACCTAGAGCAAGCTTTCAAACTTTTTAACTATATAAATATAATCAATAAATTTGAGCTGTTCTGGAAAAAAGTAGGAGAGGATTTCCAGAGACACCCACCACAATCAGCTCTTAGAGCTACAATTTGAAAACCACTCCCCTGGGGTATTTATAAATCAATTTGCCCAGTGCAGATCTACCTTCTTGGAATAGTGCCATGTCATTGCAACACGAGTAGCCTGTTTTTATTTACAGAAGTGTACTATATTTAAATAGAAATCATTTTTCATTTTTTTCTTAGTGTTAATATTTTTAATACTGAAACAATTTTCAACAGGGCACTTCATTCATGTATTAATCACTCTTTTAACAGGTATTTATCAAATTTCTATATTGTAGAATGTACTGTGCAAACTCATTTATGGAATTACCCCGCACCCCCTGCCAAAAAAAAAAAAAAAAGAAATTTAGAGGCCAGTAGTGAATATTGACTAACTATACAAAGAGCTACACTCTAAGGCCAGAAACAACAAAAAGACCCAAATGTGGTAAATATAGGATACTGTAGAATCTTAGAGAAGAGTGTAATGTGCTGTGGTACATACTGAGATACTTGCTTCACAGCCAAGAAAGACATCTGAGCCTCTGTTCAGGAATTGCCATGGACGGGAATTGTTCCACCCTCTTTCTAGGGGCAGCATGAATCCAATGAACAGTCATTGCAAAACTAGAAATGTCTAAGTTCATTTCTTCAGGGGACAAATATGAAGGGTTATCTACAGACTAGTACGTTGGATGATCTAAACTGGTATTGTATTTGCATCAAACTTTCATCTCTTCCTCTGTCCAGTCCCTCTTCCCTCACTCCATTGCAAGTGCTCTCTCAGTAGCACTTCAAATAAACCTTCTGCATACAAGCAAATCTCCATCTCATACCTGTTTCCTTGAGAACCCAACTTAGAAAATAGATTAGAAATATTTGCATGGAACTGATAGCATCTTAATGGAAATTTCAAAACTAGCAGGCTTAGGATATATAAAGCTATGGAAGGAGGATATTTCAGGTGGTAGAATGCTGTAGCTGATATATCTATTAGACTAAATCATTTGTACAATGACAAGAGTTGATTACCAGAGTGCAGAGAACACATAAAATTGTTTTGACTGGAAAGTGATTTAGGAAAAAAATTATTTTGTGGGTAAATGTAAGACACTAAATAATTTTTGGATAAAATCAGACCTGAATTTTAGAACACCTTTACCTCTTTTATTTAATTTTTTAAAAGCTAAGAAAAATCTTAGATTCAAAATTATGTGATTGCACATAAAATCACTGGACATTTTCTATGTATTCTATATTAGTAAGTGAACTAAAATGTAATAGATGTTTAAATCAAATTCTTTTGCATTGTCTTAATTGACCAATTTCTGTTAAAATTTTTGTAATTATTTTTAATATGGAATGTGGGAAAATAGAAAATATCAGTTTATGCAATATGTCAAATATTTAAGTACCAGTACATTTTCTTATATTGATATATGTTGAGCCCAACATATATCAATATGATATCTGATAGAGTTATCTTGATATATGTATTCTATATTAGTAAGTGAACTAAATTGTAATAGATCTTTAAATCAAATTCTTTTGCATTGTCTTAATTGACCAATTTCTGTTAAAATTTATGTAATTATTTTTAATATGGAATGTGGGAAAATAGAAAATATCAGTTTATGCAATATGTCAAATATTTAAGTACCAGTACATTTTCTTATATTGATATATGTTGAGCCCAACATATATCAATATGATATCTCATAGAGTTATCTTGATATATGTTGATATCTCAAAAAGTATTTTTTGAAATGATAAAAATATTGAAATTATACCATTTCTTACATGGTAATTTATTCATTCAACAAATATTTATTGAATACTACCATATGTTGTACCATAAGATCAGAGAATAAGGAAGGAAAATAGAAATATCAAAAATAATTACAAGCATGATTTGTTCTACAAAAGGAGAAATACCAAGTGTTCTAGAAATATGTCATTGGAGGGCCTACTTAGGCCTGAGAGTGATAGATAAGTGGAAACGTTTAGGCTAAGTATGCATTAGCCAAGAAAGGAAAATGAAGAGTATTCCAGGAAAGGGGAAGGAAGAATGCCTCATGCAAATGAAATAGAATGTTTCTAGGCTTGTAGGAAAGAGAGCTTAACACATTGAAGCACCTGAAATAAGCCCAAGGCAGCCAGAATAGAGACATGGCTTCTAATTAGCTAAAAGGGGGAAAGACCATCAAGGGTTTGATAAACGATGTTGAAATTTCCAAATTTTATTCAAGGAATAACGTGACACTGAAGGATTATTATTATTATTATTATTATTTTTTTTTTTATTTTTTATTTTTTGAGATGGAGTCTCGCTGTGTCATTCAGGCTGGGGTACAGTGGTGTGATCTCAGCTCACTGCAACCTCTGCCTCCTGGGTTCAAGTGATTCTTCTGCTTCAGCCTCCTGAGTAGCTGGGATTACAGGCGCGCACCACCACACCTGGCTAATTTTTGTATTTTTAGTAGAGACAGGGTTTCACCATGTTGGGCAGAGTGGTCTCGAACTCCTGACCTCAGGTGATCCATCTGTCTTGGCCTTCCAAAGTGCTGGAATTACAGGTGTGAGCCACCACACCCAGCCGACACTGAGGTATTTTAAACAGGGTGGTGATAAAATCAGATTATCCCATGCTTGCCAAGTAGAGAATTCTGCAACTGCCATTGAACCAGACTGACTGCATGACAGAACACCAATTAAGAGGCTAATCTTCTTACTTAGAGAGGACCTGGTTAGGTTGTGGGCCATGGGATGGATAGAAGTAGATATCCTTGAGGATATTTACAGGATTGAAATAAGATTTGGTGATTTAATAAGTGTGTGAGGAAGACAAAGATTAAAATAATGATTCCTAGGTTAATGGTTGGGACAAAATGAACTCTAATAAGTTGTCATGTTTGGTTTTGTGGCCTTTTAAAACGTCTGCATACTTAGAGAAATGGAGACATTACTTTTTGTTTAAAGCACTATGTATCATTTAGAATTTACAAATCTGAAGGAAAGAGAGAGAATTTAGGAAAACATAATCTGGCTTACCACAAACAGTATTGTCTTGAAATATAAGGTAGCCTTTTTACAAAAATGTGTGCAAATAAACTTTTTGTCATGGGGATTTAAAAACTGTCATCCATGCTCTCGGTATAGGCCTCTTGTCAATTCACCAAGATACACTCCAGCTTCAGGTCATTTTGATCATAAAGTAGGTAAACTGGAATAGATTTAATTTAATTCAGTTCAACATGCCCTTCTGAGCAATTCTCTATATATAATATGTTATATTGAACACACAGTTTACATAGTCCAAAGGAAAAAATACGAGACACAAGATGAAGGTTTCAGTTTGGGCTCCTCAGTTAACCGGTTGACTTAGGGCCTAAGGGTCCCCTAAGATGGAGACAGCATGATCACAATGCTTGTAACTTCCTGTTTACTTCTCAGCTGGCTGTGAGTCTCTATTATGAATGACTATTTGAGTGTATATGTATATATGCAAATATATGTATATATACACACACGTAATGTTACATGGCAACTCAAATTTTCCTAGATATTTCACACAAACTAGATTCTTTGTATTTGTCGTCCTCTTTTTTTTTTTTTTGCATCTTGTATCTTAGTTTCTATTTACCCATAAAAATATTTGTTTGTTGGGTAGAAAATGTGGTATTTTTCTGGTTAGGGGTTTTTCTCTCTGAACCTGATGCTGATGAAACATGAAGGCATCAGGGCTCCCTGCTGAGTCTGGCACCTCCCAGAGTATTCACTGCCTTGCTGGGCCCATGCTTATATTAACAGATTATCCTTGGTTACCACACACATCTGCAGGTTACAAGGAACCTAGAAATATGTATAAGGAAATTAGACGAGTATGATAAATATTTGATGTCCCACGTGATCCTCCAAAAGTATCTCTTAAGTTCCTTTGCCATTTCAAGCGTAGGAAAAGATCCTTCATCATAAACAGAATGACATAAAGTCTCAGTAATTTTTTTTTTACTTTTTCCCCAACTTTTCCTAGCCATAGGTGAATAATACATTTTGCCTTTTAGAAACTCATTATCCAGTGGTAAATTATTCTCAACCTCTGATTCTCTTCTTTTAATTTTTCTACTCTTTGCTCTCTATATTTGATGTCCACTGGTATTTCTATATCAAGTGGATGGATGAAATTAAAACAAATTTTATTTCATATTTTTTAAAAAGGTTTACTCTGGCAGCAATTTTTACTGCCAATTTAAAGGACGTTTAGAAATTATCTGTATGTGTTATTCATACTACCAATGTCCCATTAGCTTATATTGTTGAAAATCTGCTGCATCACCAAGAGATAAAAAATACCACCATGCATGCACAAAAATAATGACCATTCATTACCCCTTGGCTAGCACACATTTTCACCAAGGCTCTGTTTTCAAGGTTAATTTGAGGATAGATGGAAAAAAGCTTTAAAGCGCTGGAATTTTCTAAGGCAATCCAAAATCAGAGAGGTTAAGTCTGGGTGATATAACAATAGGTTTTAGTTAAAGGGTTTATTTGCTCGAAATACTGACCTCTGAATCATCCCTGACATCTTCATGAGGGAAGGTTTCACTGATTTTACATGCCAACGGCTCATTAGGAATATAGCATAAGGAAGATAAATCACAAAGTCATAAAGTTGAGCAAGGTAAGTAAATGCTGCAGCAAACTAAATGCAAGTCCCCCAATTTATTGTTTTCTGTACCTTCTTCAAGTAAACTAAGTCATTCAGTGGAAGATAAAGTAAAGGATAAAGGCATGACCTGGAGTGGTCATGTGGGTATTGATTGAAAATAATAACACAACACCAGATTAGTCTAGTGCTCAAATGTGTAAACATTTTAGGGATATAGTAGTTTTATGTAGCAATTATATTGATATATGATATCTTTTTCGTATAAATAAGCTACTAAAACATAAATTTAAGATTCTGATATAATTAGAAGATATTAATCAGGTAGATGTGTGATTATGAACAAGAAAAACTTGTATAAAAATATTCTGAACACAAGTTTTTGAACTTACTTGTAGTAATATAAGCTATATTTGTCAATCAAATTCCTACAGTATTTGTCATTTGGAGATACTAATGATAATAAGATGCACTGCACTTACTTCAGTCTTTAAAATATAATTGGATGTTTTGAGATATTAACAGTGAGCACATACCGGAATAGATTGGCAAGAATCAGGTATATTGCCCTTATCAAAAATACAAGCAATCAAAGGGAACAAAGGAGAAAAAGGAGGAGACATTCTGCATGGCTCCCCAGGTTCTTTCTTCCCACACTGGAAATGCTGATTCGGTCTCCAAGGAAGGTTTCATAGGTTTATTTCTCACCACAGGGAGGATTTACATTATGAAACATTTCCATTTTTACCCGAGAAAATGTAAAGCTTCAGGACATTTTCTGAGGAGCCACAAACCATTAATCCATAGATCCTGGGTTTATTTACTACAGTATTTTTTAGCCTGGGATATCCTGCTAAGGGCTTTGTATAGATAAGGAATCTTCCACCTAGTAAATATTACCAGTCTGTTTACCTGGAGTTCCAATTGGCAGGGAAATTAGACCAACCTTCACCCTCAGTTGCTGCCCTATACACACACCAGTGAAAGGAGTGAATACATCCTAGACCAGCTGCTTAACTTTTTTCTCTTCAAGTACTAATCAATGAAATGTAACTGAGTTGACATTTGCAAAAATATTTTCCAAAGCCATCTAAATATTTAAGCGTATAATAATTTTTGGCAAACCCACTGAATTTTAATTAACAAAACAAGATTATGCCAACGATTTCTAAGAGAACTAAAAATCCTTCAAAAATAAAGAATTAAGTAACAGTGGAAGTAATGATGATAATAGTATTTAAGCTCTTACCACATGTCAAGAACTTTTCAATATTCTGTACATGTATTATAAGAATCAGAATAATCTTCTGGGGTAGGCACTATTATTTTCCCATTTAACAGATCTAGTGTTTGAGGCATAAATGAAATGGCTTAGCCTGGTTTACACATCTAGTAGATCCCGAAGCCATTGGTGAAACCCAGGAAGTGTGACCTATGTTCTTGACTGCTAAATCATGCATGAAAATCCACTAGGATTTTTATTAATAAAACTAGATAATAGAAACTGGCTGATTAGGGAATAATAGTAAAGAATTAATTTTGTTGATTATTACTATTATAAAAATACAATAGATTAAATATTAAAATTAGTGATTCAGGTAGGAAAACATCAATCAAAAATAGTTTATTGAACTCATCATGAACTTTGCATCAGGTGATTGGGCTACAAGGCACAAATGAAGTAGAAGGAAAAGCAAATAGCATAATATTACTACCAGCCAGAAAAGACTGGAAACGGAGTTGCAGGTTATGTCAAGTGAGATATATTTAAATATCAACATCTTAGAGGTGATAATTAAAACAATTTACAAAACTGAGATCATTTGTTTTCTAAATAAATGTCATTACCAGGCCAAAATTTTAAGTTAGACATATTTTAGCATTGAAGTGACTCAGAGTGCGATTTTCATTTGTAAAATCCTAAATAATATGAAGACTGATAAACTAAACTGAGAAAAGAATGATAAACAAGAAAGAGAGAAGTATGACCTACATTGCCATCTGTTGGATAAATGAACATCTGTCATATTGAATGAAAGATGAAGCTTGGAATTCCCAGAGAATCTCAACAGCCAGCACTACCCGTTAAGAGCAAAAACAGATTTCAAGCCTAATTTAACTTTCTTTTATTTTTGATTTGGAAAATATATTTAAAGAAGGGGCAAAAAAATCACCCTCTAATAATCTAGAAACCATGGATTTTAAGATCCCCAGGTATAATTTTAGACCAAATTGAATGGAATTGTGCTAGAACAAAGAAGATTGTTGAAATCTATCTTATATAGATTTTATGCACTCCAGAAGCATCTTGTTTTCAAGATGGATCCATTCAAGTCACAAGGTATGGTGGCAAAAACTTGAGCCTGGAACTTAGTCTGAGCTCTAACATGGTTTCATTTTGAGCAGTCACTTGACTTTTGGGGTCTAAATTTCTGTTTTTATGAAAAATGGATGAGATTGGATTAAGGAATTTCCAAAGTTAGGTTCAACTGTACTCCTGTTTATGCTGTGTACCTATTTTAAAAAGTAGTCTGTTAAAAATTGCTTACTTTAAATATTATTTTATAGATAGAAGTAGAGTTCCTAGAAGTTCCTTTTATGTTTATTTATTTATTTTTTTACTTCTCAAATTTTACATCAGTATCTGTTCTCTCCTTTAGGGTGGAGTTAGTGGGTTGACTGGAGAGCTAGAATTTGGAGAAAATGGAGGCAATCCCAATGTCCACTTTGAAATCCTTGGAACCAACTATGGAGAAGAGCTTGGCAGAGGTGTTCGAAAAGTAAGACAAGACACACTGATTAATACGCTTTTTCCTATACTATGGTTTTGCTTGATTGTTTTCCATGCAGTATGATCACAGTACCCATTAAAGTCAATATTGTAGTGTGAAAGAGAAAGCAGGGGGTGAGGGGAAATTAGGCATTGAAATGACTTTAAATATTTACCAGAAGTATTAAGCAAGAAATTCTATTTCCGACTTAGAATAATGTAAAGGAAAAAAGTAATCTGAATCTTACCTAGGGAAATAGCATCATCTTTCATTTGTTACAATAATAGTTTTTATAAAATAGTAAATTTAATATTTATACACTTTGTAGCTGCTTGGTTTTTAACTTGTAACATGTACAAAATCAGAATAAGAGCTTGGATAAATTTCATATAGTAAGACAGAAAGTCTACTGCAAGATGTGACATTACAGTATTTTACCTTCTGTATGTGTCATGTAATATGTAGAAAATAGTTTGCAGAAAATGAACTCTTGTTGGATACTACTGATCACATGTAAGAAGAAGCTGAGTGCCAATAATGATGTTTCATGAAATACTGGGACAATAACTTTCTCAAGGAGAAATACAAACGCCCTTATATAAATGATGTTTCTATAATTCGGATTTGCTATATATAAATTTTTGATATATATATCAAATATATATATATTTATAGCATTTGATATATATAATATATATATATATAGCAAATCCAAATTATATATATACACATATACACACACACACATATAGATATATTTGGTAGGGAAATAAATCATATATATATCATATAAATATATCAAATCATATGTATATATACACACACATATATATATGATTTGGATTTGCTATCTATCTATCTATGTATCTGTCTATCTATCTATCTATCTATATTTGGTAGGGAAAAACCTAACATAATTGTGTACGCAGAGCTGGTAACTGTAAATTTCTAACTGTCTAAAGTTGATGACATTTAGGGTAACAGGTTCTTCAGTAGGTATTTTTAGTGCTGAGATGTAAGATGCAAAACAACCTAGACAAAATGAAGTGAGGAGTAATTAGCAATACAAATTTCTCAATAAATTCATGCTAATATGGATGAAACTATCTTGATGCATTTAAAATTTTTGTTTTATAGTGAATAATATGAAACATATAGAAAACTGCATAAAACACAAAGTTTAGTGAATTATTTTAAAGGAAAGAACCACTACTGTGGTCAAGAAATAGAAAATAGCCAGGATTCTCAACCCTCCCATATGCTTCTCTCTGATTACCGTCAGACCATCCTTGTCAATAGTGTAATATTTAGACTGATTTTTACGATGTTAATTTATTTGCATTTAAAATATGTTTTTATCACCTGTGTTTACATCCTTATATAATTGTTTTGTCAATGTTTCAACTTATGAATGGTCTCAAGAATGCGTATATCCTTTTCTTCTTGCTTCTTGTGTTCAACAGTGTGTTTATGTTATTGATCCTTGTTGTTACATGGAGTGGCAGTTTATTCATTTATATTGCTGTATTGTTTTCTATTGTATGGATTTGTCCCACACCACTGCAGTTTGTTTCCATTTTTAGACTGCTATAAGCTGCTGTTACAAAAATTCTTGGATATACATCTTGGATACTTTTATGCTTGTAGGTGTATTTCTGTAGGTTTTGTATCCAGAAGTAGAACTGCCTGCAATATAAGAAACCATATCTTGAACTTTACCAGATAACATCAAACCCATTTTCATAGTAATTTACTAATTTACATACCACCAGCAGTGCAGGCATTGCCCCACATTCTAATCAAGTCTTGAATTTGTAAGACTTAAAATTTTATTAACTTATTGGGTGGATATAATGATATATCCTCATGATTTCAATTTACATTTCCCTGATTATGAAACAGTCTGCACCTTTTCCTACATATTTAGGCTCTTCAGGTGTTTCTGAGTTAATTGCTCATTATTTTTTTTTTGGAGAAGGGTGTCTTTTGCTTTTTATAATTGATTTTAGAAGTTATGTATATATTCTGAATTTTAGTGTTTTATCATTTAATTTTTGCCAGTTTTGTTTTCTTCTCTGTGGATTTTATTTCAATGCCATTTATAGTATCTTTAAATTTAGAGGAACTATGAATTTTCATCCTTATTATTATTGCTGTTTAGTATTATCTAAGAAATTACTCCCTATCCCCCAGAGTCATGAATATATTATGCTCAATTATGTTCCAAGGGTTTTACAGTTCTGCCTTCCAAATTAAGGTCTTTTATCTATCTAGAAGTTTTTTTTTTATATATATACGGGGTAAGAAAAAGGTAAAATTTTACTCTTCAATACTCTTCATTTGTTTTATTGAGATATAATTTAAGTGCACAATGACTTAGAGTAGTCGCATTCACCAATTTAACCACTAACCAGGTCAAGTTATTGAATGTTTCTGTCACTCAGAAAGTGCCATTATTCCTGTTTTTATTATTAGAAGCACAGACAGTTTGCTTGGCCTGAAAGTTTATATAAATGGATAAGGTAGTATTTACACATTTGTGTCTTTCTTCTCTCAACATTTAAGGTACATTCTTATTTTCATGTGTCAATAATTTTGCTTGTTTGTCTTTTAATTTATATTGCTGAGTGGTATTATAGTCTATAAATATAATATGGTATCTTCTAAATGTCATTTTCTGTTTGCTGCTGTATATACAAATGATATTTTATATTGATTTTATATCTAGCACTCTTGCTCAGACTTTTAATTCTGATAATTCAACTGTAGATTCTTGTGAATTTTCTGCAAATTGTCTTGTCATTTGCAATTAATAAGAGTTTTTGCCTCTTCTTTTGTTATTTTACACCTTCTAGGGATGATGTTGAATGGAAATAACAGTAGTAGGCATTTTTGGATCGTTATCAATCTCGGAGAGAAAACATTCACCACTATACCACTATACTACTATATATTTATAACTAACTTAGATCAGATTAAGGAAACTCCATACGTTCCTGGGATATGCATAATTTTATATAAAATTGCTTATACATATGTAAAATTATAATTATGCTTATGTTTACATAAAATTATTTGATTTGCTACCACCTTGCATAAGGGTTTTATATTGATACTTATGACTGAGGTTGCCTAAAGCTGTCCTTTCTGTTGGATTTTGAAATTAAGGTATGCTGGCCTAACTTAAATGAGTTAGCAACAAGGCAAAGCATCCAGAACCATGTCTAGTACATCACAAGAAGTTGTGGTTAATTTTCATTAATAACTGAAATTTCAGTAGAGGGGTAATGCCATATGTTTAAATAGCAACAGTAGAAAAGTAAAAAAAAAAAAAAAGTGAGTATGTTTGGGTAGTAATTAAATGACTTTGTGAAGTTGTTGGGAGAGATTTTTTACAATGTAAGAGATTTGAGTATATTTGAATGCTCACAGACCAAGCCAGTAGTGAAGAAGAAAATGAAGATATAAGAAAGAAAGGTGATAATTGATAGCGATACAGTAGGGGAAAAGAGAGGATTGGATCAAGAATTAGATGGAGTACTTAACCATAGGCACCGGGGAACATCATTTTCCAGGGTGATAAGGGGTAGGGGTAAGAAAAGAATGCTGTGTTTGCAAGCAAGTCTTTATGTTTGATGTTAGGAAGTTAAGAAAATTATTAATAAATTGTCTTTGCTTGGAGAAATAGGAGGCAAGATTATCTTCTAATTGGGAAAATGCAGCAGAAGGCATTGGCAATAATGAGACTGGAGGTTTAACAACAGTGGAGAAGTTTCGAAATAGCTGCTGTGGCAAACAAGAGAGGTGACTAGGGAATATTGAAGAAATGCCAGGGAGGGCTATTGGCTCACATGAGGCTAGAGATCAAGAAATCACTGTAGTACTAATCTACACAGTTGTGGATGTTTGTCCAGCAGCATTGAGCAGACTGAATAAATTTAAATTAATGTAGGCTTGAAGCTTCATCGGGTTATTTTTGTTTTGTATTGTGTTGCTTTGTGTTTGATAGCAGTACAACAAGGCAGTATGGTTAAGAACATTGGCAAGGCAATGGTTGAAGTGACAAAGCATAAAATCTAAACTGAACATGAATGGCAATGAAGAAAGGAAGAGTATAACAGAGACAAAGTATGGCTCGAGAGGTTAGTGTGTGTTCAGCACATCTGAAGAGCTTGTATATTAGTATGGATTAAGTGAGAGAGCTTCAGAGCCAGAAATTATGTTTGGGGAGAGAGAGAACTGAATTCATTATCCTAAGGCTGGGTAGGTTCTAGGCACTCATCAAGGGATGTTTGTGAGGGTGGCAGAGGAGAGCTTCATTTAGCCTTCTAAAACCAGTGTCATTTAACGGAGTTCTGAGGTCAATATAGTTGTTTCAACCTGCTCTGAATTCAGAGTTTGTAATTGTTAAATCTCTGCTATTAAAATGATAGTGAATCATACACATTAGATTACATCTACTTTGTCCTTAAGTAATAACTCCTGTAATTATTTCATTTTTTATGTTCCTATGTCCCAACTCCCAAACTGTATTGAAATGTTCTGTGAGCTGGCACTATAGAGGTATTATGAAAGGCACTATAAATATTTATTCCATGGTACCTTGTATACCTTTGACACTTGAAATTTTTTTTGCATTGTTTTACAAATTTAAGCATTCTTAATTTTGAAATTTTCATTTTTATAACTCAATTATTTTTCTACTAAGCTGCAATTTAATTACTAATTTTTTTAAAACTCCAGATCTAACACTCAAGTAATTTTAAAAGTATTATGGATTAATTCATAGCTTGCCAGCTCATTTTATAAATGGGGCAGTTCCTTTGTATAGGTATTAACCCATATAATAATGCTTTCAAAGATACTTATGAAAGGAAAATAACACCACGCAAACAATTGCAATATAGATTTACTAGATGTGTGTCCAAAATGAAGGTTCCACTCCCAGTTTCTCCATGTCTCAAAAGGAGTGAATGGTTTTTCAGTTGACGGACTGTCAAGTTGTCAGTGTTTATTCTGCTGCCAGTGGCTCAGTGTATACAAAGACTGCAGCCTTATCACCTCAAGCAGGGGTATTGTCAGGTCTCATAAACTAAACAGAGTTTTGTCTGCTCAGGATTTGAATGTGTGATGTACCAAGGATTCATAATCCCAAATTTTGGACTAGTCTTTGCTCTCTTGGCATTGTATGAATGATGGTTTCATTTTTTTGAGTTTGGTGAGAATGTGGAAGGGATTATTTGATTCTCACTGATGTTCATCTAAATTAAGGACTTTCTTACTTTGATAATTTTTACATGTTCTTCTATTTTGTCATAAGGTGGTACTTATTTAGCAGATGGTATATCAACATGTTAGCACATTGTATATACCCTTGAAGATAAATTCAGGTAAAACTCAAAGTCAAATTTTGAAATCGCTAAGGTTTTCTATACCCTTAAATTTTGCCCAAGAATGTGGTTATTTCTGTTTCTGTTAGTCACTATATAGAATTTCTAAAAAAAAAATTAATTTGAGCAAAAGTTATTATAAGAAGACATAAAAAGTAAAGATTAAATAACTCTACGTTTAAGGAATCAATATATGTTTTTCATTAGAAGAGTTTTACATAATGTTGTTTGCTTATTTGTCTCATTTTTGTTAAGTTTGCCAGTGCTGCTCACATATTATTGCAGACTGAATTCCAGTATTAAAATGTAATACTCTAGACTTAGTGTCTTTGAACTTTATCACAAACGGAATAAGGCTAGGAAAAGCTGATTAAAGCTGGTTTCACAACCAATCTTAATTGCATAGTAATGCTTAATATCTTCATAAAAGTGTTTTCTCATAAGTTGGTAAAATAAAATGTACGTCAGAGATATTTTACCTCCTAGGTACAGTGGTTTCTCAGATATACTTAGAATCTTTATTCGGGCTCTCCAGCTTTAAATTCACAAAGTCTACAACTTTGTGTTCTTGGGCAAACCTAATGTACTGCTTCGCAAAGGATATTATATTATATAATCTATTAATTAATAGATTATATAATCTATTAATTAATAGATTATATAATCTATTAATTAATAGATTATATAATCTATTATATATTAATTAATAGATTATATAATCTATTATATATTAATTAATAGATTATATAATCTATTATATATTAATTAATAGATTATATAATCTATTATATATTAATTAATAGATTATGTAATCTATTAAAAATACACCAATTTTTAATGGACTAAAATCTTTAATTGCTTTGTACTTATAAGGAGGAGAGAACAGCTCTGCTTTCAAATAGCCAGTGATTAAATATTGCACTTGTATTCAGCATTTTATTTGTATTCTGATTCTGGAATATCTAAAATGACATTTATCTTTTGGTATTACCCTGTTTTATGTTTTCTTAAAGCACTTTTTGCAAACTGATATTATATCAGTCTTTGTAATATAAAACCCAGTTGTAATTTGAGCCCATAATTGGAAAATCTGCCATAGTTATTTACTGTCATAGTTCTAACAATGAATTCATGTCTTGGAAGGTTTATATAATAGAGAGAATCTAGAAAATATTGTGAATTGACAATATAATTATACATATAACTCTTCTATGTGTATATGTAAATATAATTAACTTACTCTTTTATAATTTGTCTTTCCCATTACAATGTTACTTCATGAGACAAGAACTATGTTTGTTTTCTGTTGTATTCCTAATGAATGGCATATAATAGATGCTTGTTAAGTATTTAATGAATGAACTAATGAATACATGTGCATACTGATGTAAGAATCCATAAGATTCTTCTCTGCATCTGTAAGTTTAGCAGCCTTGTTTTTCTTCTATTTACATGAAACATAATTATTTGCATTTAAATTAACCAGAATGTTAGTGGGTGTTACACTCTTTATCCTCAATTCCTATCAGAGTTGGGCACTTGATCACCAAAAGTATAAACAATAATTTTAATGGTTAAGCAAGATATATGTATAATTTGTTTGCAAGAATTTGTTGTGAATAGGGAAATAGTGAGTACTTAAATTGATTATTCCAAGCAAAATGGAAATACCCATAAAAGTACAAGTTTATTCGGACCATTAGTATTTGTACTTTTAAGATTATTGTCTCACAGCGAGACTAGATTTAACAGGCTGTAGTGGAAAAACGTGTAGCCTTTGCTGTTAGACATACCTGGGTTGAAATTCTGCCTCTGTCACTTACTGATTGTTTGATCTTTGGACTTCAAAGCAAATTGAGTTTCAAGTTCTATAATATGTGAATGTAACACATGTAACATGTGAATAGTAATACTTATCTCTCAGGATTTTTGTAAGGATTAATTGAAATTATGTTTGTAGGTTACACAATAAGGGAAAATTAAAATAATACCTGTTCAGAAATATACAGGAATTAACAGAATTCATTTTCAACCCAACACAAGAACTACAAAGTCTAGTTGCTATTCTGACAAGAAGCTGCTATGTGAGGTGGTGAAAGTAACTTGATTTTAGATGTGGTTGACAGAGGATTATACATGACAGTCACAGTGATAGCATGAAACACTAACTTTTTTGTTTCATTTAATGTCCTTTATGGCTCCAAAATTCTACAAGTCTGTTAATCAAGGCTTGGAAACTATAATATCTACAGTTGTATGGAAATCTAATAACAGAAAATCTGATGGTAAACATAGCCTGCATAAACCCAGTCTTTATAGTTTAAGCCCATAATTGGAAAATCTGCCATCTTCAATTACTGTCCTAGTTCCAGCAATGAATTGTGTCTTGGAAGGTTTATATAATAGAGAGAATCTAGAAAATATTATGAAGTAGGGCCTGGCATGGTGGCTCACACCTGTAATCCCATCACTTTGGGAGGCCGAAGCAGGTGGATCACGAGGTCAGGAGATCGAGATCATCCTGGCTAACACAGTGAAACCTCGCCTCTACTAAAAATACAAAAAATTAGCTGGGTGTGGTGGCGGGCACCTGCAATCCCAGCTACTCGGGAGGCTGAGGCAGGAGAATGGCGTGAACCTGGGAGGCAGAGCTTGCAGTGAGCCGAGATTGGGCCATTGCACTCCAGCTTGGGTGACAATGCAAGACTCCTTCTCAAAAAAAAAAAAAGAAAAAAAGAAAAGAAAATATTATGAAGTAATAGTATGTTGTGAACACAATAGCTTTTATTTCTTTATCCCATTCTCCTTTATTTATAATATATAATCATTATACATTTAGCTCCATCAGCTTTTATTCTGATGTGTCTTCAAGAAAATAGCTTGTACCATAAAGTCATGAGATGGATATGCAGTCTAATACTTTCTAACATTACCATTGAGTTAGACTCTCAAAATCATTGATCCCAGCAGTCTCTTGATGGGTAGGGGAACCCTGCACTCTTGAAAAGTATATTCTGTGGACCAAATTGTTTCAGCTTCTTAGGGAGCCTATCTGATTTCACTGCAGAGTAGAGAAAATAACCCGTATCTGCTGATGTTTAGGGTTACTCTGAGTTTCTGGAAGGGTTAGCAGCTGGTTGGTTGAGATCACTTCTGGAGGAGTTCTACCTCAGGTAAGCAGCATTCACTGCCTCTTGGAGAGAATGGGAGCTATCTCTTCTGGTGGTTGGGATCATGCCAACCTCTCCAGTGTGGAGCAAAGATGACTGATGGGGTACAATTCTGTGTCCAAGTCTTGGTGAAAATAGGAACGACTTTTCTAGAAGGACTATAAAATCTGAACTGTTTGCTTGTTGTGATGGTTAATTTTATGTGTCACCTTGACTGGGCTAAGGGGTCCCAAGATAGCTGGTAAAACATTATTTCTGGATCTGTCTATAAGGTATTCCCAGAAGAGATTAGCATTTTAATTGGCGTACTGGGTAAAGATTACCTCACCCATACGGATAGGCATCATCCAATCTGTTGGGGAACTGAATAGAACAAAAAGGCAGAGAAAGGGTAAGTTTGCTCCCTGTTTAAGATGGGAAATTCATGTTCTCTTGCGCTCAGACATGGGCACTCCTGGTTCTCAGGCCTTCAGACTCCAGCTGGGAATTGCACCATCAGCCCCCCAGTTCTCGGGCCTTACACCCAGACTGGGACTGACATCATTGGCTCTCTTGTTTCTTAGGCCCTTGGGTTTAGACTGAAACTATACCACCCACTTTTCTGGTTCTCTAGTTTCCAGATAGCTAATCTTGGAACTTCTTAGCCTCCGTAATTATGTGAGCCAATCTCTCATATCAAATCTCTGTATATGGCATATATTTATATTTAAATATATATTTATATATACATATATTCCCCTGGAGAACCCTGACAATACCTTGGTATGATATCTTACCACGTTTGAGGGAAGAGCTAATTGTGAGGAATTTAGCTACTATTGGCATCCATACTCTCAGAGAACATTCACAGACATGAATATGCTCATAAAGAGACCGAGATAGTCTGTGGTGTCATCTGTAGTCCACATGCTTAGGATTAGTTGGGTTAGGAGTTCAAGACTGTGTCTGATACAGAGGAGGCAAAGTTTAGTTTCCTTCCCACTCTACTAGAGAGCATCAACAGTGGGGCACACTGGAATCTGTGTCACTCCAATATCTAACAGATACACACACACACACACACCAGTGAAGCTCCAGTCCAGCTCAAATTCAACAATATGATGTGGTGGTACTTAACATCCACTGAACAACCTAATTCCTAGTTTCAGCCACTAGTGGTAACTAATGTTCAGGACCCAGTACTATGGTAATAATTATTAAAAGAACTTATATTAGGAATTCACAGAATTAAGAAGCATTTGCTCATATGGGTACTCCTTTAGCAAGATCTCATTGTCATGATTTAATTTTAAGTGACAGATAGTGAAGGTTTATTTCACAGAAATTGCACAAGTGGGCAGACAGTGATAGGAGAGACTCAAAGAGTAAGCCATTCACCCATATGTGTTGGAAGCCTACCACAGACAAATTTATTACATGACAACACTCATGATATGATAGGTTCTGTTGAACCAAAATTCCAGGGGCTTTTCATTACACCTCAAATTTTCTGCTTTCTCTGCTCTCTAAATTTCTCTGTAGTCTGAGAGAAAGATATATATATCTTGTTCTCTCAGGCCTATCTGGACGCCTCAAGGGGATTACACATTCTCTTTTAGCAGTAACTAGGTTTTATATAATTTAAATTTGAATAGTTTTGAGCATTAATTTCACAAAAAGTGCTAATAGAAGTTTCATAGTTCATTTATTTGGCAGGGGGGTGACTCTCATTCAAACTAATGAATATTATGTCCATGTGAGTAATGCATAATTGGAATTGTAATAATGGCTTTAGGTTACTGATGCTTGTATTGCCTCCTATGTCTGTTTTTTCCAGTAATTTTATTTTCCTTCTTAATCAGGACACCTGACCCATTGGAGCTATTTAGACATCACTAAGACATTAGTCCTAATTAAGCTATTCTGTAGTGACTGAAAATTGATTGATACTTGTTCCTTTGTTTTTGGTACAAACTATGGTATTAAGGAAAACTTTTTTGAAACTTTGGGTTGGCTGGGATGCTTACTCTTTCCCATTTTAAGAATTCTGCTTTCAGTTTTCTGCATATGGCTAGCCAGTTTTCCCAAAATCATTTATTAAATAGGGAATCCTTTCACCATTGCTTGTTTTTGTCAGATTTGTCAAAGATTAGATGACTGTAGTTGTGTGGTGCTATTTCTGAGGCCTCTGTTCTGTTCAATTGGTCTATATGTCTGTTTTGTTAGCAGTACCATGCTGTTTTGGTTACTGTAAACTGGTAGTATAGTTTGAAGTCAGGTAGCAAGATGCCTCCAGCTTTGTTCTTTTGGCTTAGGATTGTCTTGGCTATATGGGCTCTTTTTTGGTTCCATATGAAAATTAAAGTAGTTTTTGTTCTAATTCTGTGAAGAAAGCTAATGGTAGCTTGATGGGGATAGCAATGAATCTATAAATTATTTTGGGCAGCATGGCCAACTTCATGATATCGATTATTCCTATCCATGAGCATGGAATGTTTTTCCATTTGTTTGTGTCCTCTCTTATTTCCTTCAGCAGTGGTTTGTAGTTCTCCTTGAAGAGGTCCTTCACATCCCTTGTAAGTTGTATTCCTAATATCCAGAGTCAAAAAGGAACTTAAACAAATTTACAAGAAAAATAAACAACCCCATCAAAAAGTGGGCAAAGGATATGAGCAGACACTGCTCAAAAGAAGACATTTATGCAGCCAACAAACATATGAAAAAAAGCTCATTATCACTGGTCATTAAAAAAAGCAAATCAAAACCACAACGAGATACCATCTCATGCCCGTTAGAATGGTGATTATTAAAAAGTCAGGAAAAAACGGATGCTGGAGAGGATATGGAGAAATAGGAATGCTTTTACACTGTTGGTGGGAGTGTAAATTAGTTCAACCATTCTGGAAGACAATGTGGTGATTCCTCAAGGATATAGAACCAGAAATACCATTTGACCCAGCAATCCCATTACTGGGTATATACCCAAAGGATTGTAAATCATTCTACTATAAAGACACATGCACACATATTTTTATTGCAGCACTGTTCACAATAGCAAAGATTTGGAACTAGCCCAAATGTCCATCAATGATAGACTGGATAAAGAAAATGTGGCACATAAACACCATGCAATACTATGCAGCCATAAAAAAGGATGAGTTCACGTCCTTTGTAGGGACACGGATGAAGCTGGAAACCATCATTCTAAGCAAACTAACGCAGGAACAGAAAACCAAACACTGCATGTTCTCACTCATAAGTGGGAGTTGAACAATGAGAACACAAGGACACAGGGAGGGGAACATCACACACTGGGGCCTGTCAGAGGGTGGGGTGCTGTGTGGGGGATAGCATTAGGGGAAATACCTAATGTAGATGATAGGTTAATGGGTGCAGCAAACCACCGTGGCATGTGTATACCTATGTAACAAACCTGCAAGTTCTGCACATGTATCCCAGAACTTAAAGCATAAAAAAAATAATAATTCTGCTATTGATTTGGGTACTGTTTACTCCAAGGTTTTCTTCTTGACAAAAAAAAAGTGGTATATTACAAAAAAACAAGTAACACATATTGTTGCCATTCCAGAGAGCAAAACTTTTCTACTGAAATCATTACATATATATATATATATTTTATATATTTATATATTTTATATATTATATATATATAAAATGTGCATGCGTATATATGTTTACATGTATATGTGCATATATATAATGTTATATATATATTTATATATATATAAAAAAAGTGTGCATGCATGTATATATATACATAGAAAGAGAGAGAAAGGCTGTGCCAAAACCAGAAACATTCTGTTTGAAAACTGGCCTTCATTTTAAAAAGTATAAAGTCTATTAAAACATGGTTGTGAGTGGATAGTCTGTTTCTTGTTATAGTCCTGGTTTTTGAGGGGAGGTTATTCAAATGTGCAGTATTTTTACTAGGACCTTAAACACATACCCCCTGTTAATGTAAAGATGTCCTTATTTACCTGATGGCAAATATTTCTGAAAATTGAGAATGTCCCCCTTTAGTCATGCCTTTCTTTCACAATATGTGAAACTCTGTGACCTTGCATTCAAGAAACATTATTTCTAGCTATGGAAAATGAATGGAATAACATTTATTTTCTCCTTGTTAGTTGGATAGTTCTGTATTTAAATGTTTCATATTTAAAATTATCTGTGTATTGTTTATCAGAAGTGTGCAAGTAATTTAGACCTTGATGATGAGTAATATTTTGCCTGTGATTTGAAGTAGCTCCTCTCTAGCACTAGCACTCTGATTATTTCTCTCTAATATAACCTCACATGCACAAAAATTTTTGAAGCTCTATTTTTTTAAATGGCAAAAATTGATTTATTTCCAGATATGATCTATAACACTAGGTTATAAAATTCATTTTAAGCAGAGCTTATTTTAAGCAAAACTGTATCATGTTGAATTAATTTGTAACCATATTTGTAAATATTCCAATTTTTTAAACTTTAAAGTTCAGGAGTACATGTGCAGGGTGTGCAGATTTGTTACATAGGTAAACATGTCATGAGGGTTTGTTGTACAGATTATTTTATCACTCAGGTATTGAGACTAGTATCCATTAGTTATTTTTCTTGATCTTCTTTTTCCTCCCACCCACCACCCTCCACTTCCAGGCTCCAGTATGTGTCGTTCCCCTCTATGAATACACGTGGTTCTCATCATTTAGCTCCCACTTATAAATGAGAACATGCAGTATTTGGTTTTCTGTTCTTGGATTAGTATGCTAAGGATAATGGCCTCCTTCCATGTCCCTGGAAAGGATATGATCTTGTTCTTTTTTATGACTGCATAATATTCCATTGTGTATATGTACCACATGGGCATTTAGGTTGATTCCATGTCCTTGCTATTGTGAATAGTGCTGCAGTGAACACAAGTGTGCATGTCTTTAAAATAGAGCAATTTATATTCCTTTGAGTATGTAACTAGTATTGGGATTGCTGGGTTTAGTGGTATTTCAGTCTTTAGGACTTTCAGGAATTGCCACACTGTCTTCCACAATCTGATCCCATTTGTCAATTTTTGCTTTTGCTGCAATTGCTTTTGGTCTTCATCATGAAATCTTTGCCCGTGCCTATGTTCTGAATGGTATTGCCTAGCTTTTCTTCTAGGGTTTTTAGAGTTTGGGGTTTTACATTTAATTATTGAATCCATCTTGGGTTGATTTTTGTATATGGTATAAGGAAGGGATCCAGTTTCAATTTCCTGCATATGGCTAGCCAGTTATTTCAGCACCTTTTATTGAATAGGGAATCCTTCATTTTTTTTTTTTTTTTTTGGTTAGGTTTGTCAAAGATCAGATCGTTGTAGGTATATGGTCTTATTTCTAGGTTCTCTATTCTGTTGCATTGGTCTATGTATCTGTTCTTGTACAAGTACCATGCTGTTTTTATTACTGTAGTCCTGTTGTATAGTTCAAAGTCAGGTAACATGATGCCCCCAGCTTTGTTCTTTTAGCTTAGGATTGTCTTGACCATTTGGCTCTTCTTTGGTTCCATAAAAATTTTAAAATAGTTTTTCCTATTTCTCTGAAGAATGTCAATGGTAGTTTAATGGAAATAGCATTCAATCTGTAAATTACTTTGGGCAGTATGACCATTATAATGACATTCATTCTTTCTATCCATGAGCATGGAATGTTTTTCCATTTATTTGTGTCATCTCTGATTTCCTTGAGCAGCGTTTTGTAGCCCTCCTTGTAGAGATCGTTCACTTCCCTTGTTAGCTGTATTCCTAGGTATTTTATTCTTTTTGTGGCAATTGCAAATGGGAGTTCATTTGTGATTTGGCTCTTGGCTTGACTGTTGGTATATAGGAAATATTCCAATGTTAGATTAGAATAAAAAATTCTGAAGAAACTTTATAGTGTGGCAATTTTACATATAATAATAAAACTCAGGCCGGACGAAGTGGTTTACGCCTGTAATCCCAGCACTTTGGGAGGCTGAGGCAGGCAGATCACGAGGTCAGGAGATCGAGACCATCCTGGCTAACACGGTGAAACCCCGTCTCTACTAAAAATACAAAAAAAAAAAAATTAGCTGGGTGTGGTGGCGGGTGCCTGTAGTCCCAGCTACTCAGGAGGCTGAGGCAGGAGAATGGCGTGAACCCGGGAGGTGGAGCTTGCAGTGAGCTGAGATAGCGCCACTGCACTCCAACCTGAGAGACAGGGTGAGACTCTGTCTAAAAAAACAAAACAAAACAAAAAACTCAGTTCTTACCATAACCAAAATTATTTTTAATTTATGAAATGTGTCTTCAAATTATCTCCTTTGGTGAAAGTTTGAAACTAAGGACTCTGAAAAAGAACATTTAAAAATTATAGATTTACTAGTTCTAATTTTAAAAATTAATATTAGATCGTTTTAAATAAAATTTATTGCTACTTAGATTTTAATTATAATTAATGTAAAATAATGTACAGTTAAAGATTTCCACAATATCAAAAAGGTTTTAACAAAACATGAATGTCCACATTGTTCCTAATCCAAAATTAGTAACCATGTTGAAATCCAAAGATTTACTAAGCATTAAATAAGTATATAAATAACTGAAGAAGTAATACAGACTAAAAAACAAACAACAAACAAATTAATCCATGTCTGTAGTTTCCGTAAGAGCATAAGTGAACACACACATAAAATCTCAAATTCTATCAAAATTTCTGTCAAATTCCAAATAATTCTGAAGGACCCTTTTTCAAGGTGATATTTAAATATTTTTATTCCAAAATAAGGCCTTATTTTTAAGATGCATAGTATTACTATCAATTATTATGTTCATGACACTTAAGGTTGTCGATATAGGTTCCCCGAGTGTTACTATTTCTCTACTTCTTTTCCCTCTGATTTTGTTGAAGCTACAAATATTTTGAGGACCTGTTATTCTGATTTTAAATTGTCAGCATTTCTTCTAGAGTGTTAAATGTCTTTCTAGTAAATTCTCTATAGATTTAATAAATAATCTACCAAAGTTATATAGAAAGCTGAGTTTTTATAGAGTTCTTTTCAATAAGATAAATGTTTGGAGATGGAGATGCTCTTTTTGAGTAATTAGAGTCACTTTTATTAATCATAGTAATTCAGGTGCAAAAAATGGCTTTTACTTACTGGTAGTGAATTTTGATTTTTAAAAATTCAATAAATACACTTTTCAGGGTTATTAAATCCTGTTATAATAGTAAAATAATATTTCTGGATTTTGAAAAATAATCAAAAGTGAGAAATGAATCTCATTTTTAACATAATTCCACAAACAGCTTGGATTAATATAGGTTGTGCTTTGAAATGTTTAACTAGTAAAATGAATGCATCTAGCTGAGTATAATCACCCTGAGTAAGTCACTTGATGCTCATGAAGAGAAAACCACTTATCCACTGAAAACTTTTCCAAGCAATTCTTAATCAGAAACTATGGGGAGTTTTATTGCTCTGGAGTACCTGAATCAAAGTAGTTTTGTGGTTTTAAATGGAATTGTATTTGAAATGCTTTGCTTGAGAATTTCTTCTTTTGATTCTTTCAAGGTTGTTATGAATCTATATCCCAAAATGAGATGAGAAATCTATCAGTGACAGGCTTATGCATTTTAGAATGTCTGATTATAGCCATTTGGAGCTGTAATATGATTTGAATAAGTGCACTTTCATTAAATAAGAGACAGTCTTTTTTAGGATTGTGGGGGAAATTGCATATTTCTTTCTCTCATGTAAAGTGTTACGTTTATGTATACTTTTTTCTTCCAAGGCAAATTGGAAATTGGATAATTATTCTTGGGACAAACAAAGTAATTACAATGCAGGGGTTGGGTTGTCATTCCAACGTGATTTTTATTTATTGAAAGTCATGAAATAAGATTTGTTTCACCTTCTTTTCCTTTCCGTGGTTGTCACATTCTCAGTCTTTTACAAACAAACAAAGAAATTCAGGCCTCCTAAATGCTATTTATTTTCTAGCTGTTGGTGTTAGATAACCTAATTATACAATAGTCTCTTCCAGATATTTTCTTTTTCTTATAGCTTATAGCTCTCGTGTTAGCTGTATCTACTTTAAAAAATAAATACGTGAACATTTTATTCATTCATATACATACTAATGTTTTTCCAAGTAGGCATTATTTTTTCTGATGAATGCGAAACATTTCTGAAGGACCATACATTAAGAAAAAAATTAGCAATCATTTGGTGAAACATCTCTATCTTACATATATATAGTGCCTAAGTTTTGTGGGTTGAATGGCTTTCTTAAAAAAACCTTTAGTTTGTTAAAAGACTAGACTTCTAGTTAGGTATCTTTTCCATAGACTTGTCTTCTCCCAATTCCAAAACCTTTACTTATTAGTGATAAATAGTAAAGGAGAAAACGTTTTTGTTTTGTTTTTGTTTTTCATGTGTTTGCTATGATGTGGATTGGTTTGTCCCCACAAAAACTCATGTTTAAATTTGATCCTCAGGGTGGGGATGTGTTTGGTTCATGTGAGTGGACCTTTTATGAATAGATTAATGCCTTCTCACTGGAATAAGTGAGTTCTCACTCTCGGAAGGCTGGATTAATTCTCATGGGAATGGGTTAGTTCTTGTGCGAAGGGGTTATTATAAAGCCAACACCTTGGGTCTTGTCTCTTTGGACATGTCTACTTCCCCTTTGAACTTCTGCCATGTTGTGACACAGCATGAAAGCCCTCACCAGAAAAGATGAAGGTGCTGGTGTCATGCTTCTTGAACTTCCCAGACTAAGGAACTATGAGCTAAATAGACCTTTATTCCTTATAAATTACCCAGTCTCAGGTATCCTATTAGAGCCCCACAAAATGGACTAAGACACACTGTAAGTACAGACAATCTCTATATAATTACAGTTTTATAGTTATGTTATAGTTTATTGAAGTCCAAGAAAAAATCTATTTTAAAAAACCTTACTTATAAAAATTGCTCACATTTTTCTATAAGGTAAATCAATTCTTTCATGCTTTTCTCTTGAAAACCCTGATTGCTGAAATACAAAATAATTTTTGGCTACACTTCTTCCTATTCTTTTGACTTTCTCCTACAATATTTTATGTAATATTTAACTTTTAGCCTTTTTTTCACTGTCCACATTTTTGATGGTAGAAGTAATATTCCCGTTCATTTTTTCAAGGCTTTCCTTTTCTTTTTTTGAATGGCAACCATGTTTTAACTTACTGAGGACTTCATATTCAGTTTTATCTTATTGTTGCTAACAGAAATATATTTTGATTGAAAATACATTGGTGCACTAGAGAGTGAATTGTAATTTTGGACGAAGTATTTTCAAAATTATGTTATTTAGACAAATAATCATAAGTAGGGTTTTTTAGCGAAAGTGTGATTTTTAATTTTTGGTTTTTTTTTTTGGTCACAATGTAGTCACACAAAAATATGATGGGGCTGTTATATCAATCCCCTTTTCCAAGAAGCCATTTGGGTGAATCATGGCATAGCAAGGTTAGACCTATATTGAGGAACAAAAGTCACAGGTTGCTTCAAGATCATATAGCATCATCCAAAGGTTTTGAGTACTTACTATTGGTAATCTTTTTATAAAGAAAATATGATAGATAGATAGAAATAGAGATAATATAAATATGATAGATGATATGGATATAGACATCATCCACTTGAGAAAAGAAAGATAAATAAATGTAAAAGGCAATATAGACCAAATACATTCTATATTACTAATATGTACTGCGAGGGAAAAGGGTCAAATATTTTTGAATTGAGTTATTCTGTACAGTGTGCTATAGTTTTGTGACAGACATACAAAACAATTTGAAACTGCTTGGGTCTTATGCATAAGTAGTGACATAGCAGGAGATACCAAAATCTAAAGTTATTCAAAACATTAGAGGATTGTGACATACTTTTATGTTGGCTGTATAGTTTTATTAAAGCATCTAATTTAATATTATTTGCTTATTTTTTGATGCACGTGGGACAAAAAAGAAATAGCAGTAATAGCAGGAGAGAAGCAAGAAATCTAACAACTTAACGTTTAAGTCAATAATAAGTAGAAAAAGAAAAATGAAGCTCATTCCGAATGATCTGAAACACAGAAAATGACATATATGTAGTGCCTAGCATTCTAATCTTGTTTATCTGATTTACTTAATAATATCAGCAATAGAAATTGCCTGCAAATATAAGAGATATCCAAGAAATGAACAGAAATTTTGATTGTTTGATACTGTAGCTTGGTTATAGCAATTTAAAGATCATTGAGGTAGATGAATGATGTAGCCCTGTTACATTGTAAAGAGTGATGCATTTCACTTCAGTGCAATGACATTGGGTTTAAGATACCATTCAGTAGAAAATGAAAACCAAAAATTTATTGATTAGTCTACAGATAGTGATTTTTTAAAGAAATGGCATAATTTAAGAAACATTTTAATCATTTTCCTTATACAGACTATTAACTTTACAAATATTGAGATTGTTTCTATAGATAGAAGACATTTAAGCCTACAAGTAATAAACTGAAAATATATTTCTCTTATCTTCAAGAATTCTGTTAATATTAACCATTTATCAAAAAGAAGTATCATAAATAAAATATTCCAATGCATTTTGTATTTTTAATGTTAAAATGTCAAATACCTTCCTTTAATTTTGACAGCATTTTATGAATTATCTTTCTCATATAATATAATGAAAATATACTTTTTGAAAGATAGCATGATGTGTGAGTGCCCTACTTGGTAATATCTATTTATTATTTCCTGATTTCCTAATTTATTCCTACTTCAGCAACGCATAGGAATAAAATATAATTTTATTCACTGCTTATTGCTGAATAAAGGATTTACCACATAAAAATATTTTATTTTTATAGAATTATTACCTCTGGATATAAAATATGTATATATACATATACACACAATATGTGTGTGTATATATATATATATATATATACACACACACACACACACACACACACACAATACTGGTAATACTAATATACACAATACTGGTAATACTAATACAACACACAATACTGGTAATACTATAATCAATTGCAGACCATACATTAAAAAATTTTATTCTCATGGAAGCATGTAATTCTTGATTAAAAAGATATAGTTTTGTTGTGTTTGAATAATTAAGTTTTCAGCATTAATAAAAGAGCAGTGAATGTGCCTTAACTAACAAAAATAAATTGGATGGAAATAAAAGACAAACTTTTCACTTGCAATAAGGAAAAAAAATGACAATGATAAAAACTAGCAAAGATATTTAAGTTTGGGTGAAATAGAATAAAAAATTTTAGTGGACCATAATGTCAGAGAAGTAGTGTTACCTCTCCCAAAAAGCTAATGAAAATTACTGAAATCATTAAGAAAATTATATTGGAGGACAAACTCATGAAAGAATTAAAGTTATATCAATATTACTTTCATGTATATAATGACAGACACATGGAAAAAATGGAGGTGTTTTATATTATTTCAAAGACATGTTTTGAAAAAAAGACTCAGAGTTGTAAAGAGACAAATGTGGCTTTATGCATTACTCCTTTAGTGCATTATGATAAGATTTGAAAAGCAGCAGGATGGTGCTTATCTTGACCCAAAATATCCATAAGGTGCTAAATAGTTTGTTATTAGTTATGCAGTGCCATAACTAATATTAAATGACAGCTTTTAAAATAATCTGAACCTGAAGGATTGTCATTTAAAGCTATAATTAACCACTACAACTAATGCATGGATTTATTTATTGATCTATTCTTTCTATAAACAACATGAAAGTAATTAACAAACACAACTACTGCAAGATTCATTTATTATCCTCTCTTTTCCATAAACAGAATGAAAGAATCAGACCACAGGGCTCTACTGGGAAAATCTGGCCCCAGGTGAGGAATATTAATAAGGACTGATGTGCTGACTAGAGTACCACTGAGGCAGCGAAGTCAGGAAAATGAGTCTTCACAGAAAGGGAAAAAAGATTAAAGAAAAAAAAGTATTATAGAGATGCTTTGCCTATTTTTCCCTTTTGCTTTAAGTTGATCTTGGTGACATTCTCAGAGTGTAAATATTTGCTCAATTAATCCTGTGTGAATAGATGAAAAAAATGCATGATGATAGGACAAGTACCTAGGAGACAAGTTGGTTGGCCTTACAAGGATTGCCCTACAGCACCATGCAGAATTAAGATCCCAAACTGTGAAGGGATTTAACTTGTCACTAGAATATCATTTAATGGTATTGCTGTAAATACACAGCTCCATATCAATCATAGTTAGGCACTTACAATCCCGGAGTATCCAGTCTTTGAATAGTTAGTTTTCCAGAACCCAAAGAAATCAATATTCCTTTTCAAAATAGTCTCGACTGTGTTCATTACCTTGATTTTTTAAAATGATTTCACAGGTGCATATATATGTCAAATCTTACCAAATGATAGGCTTTTTACATACATGAAATTTATACTGTCAATAATTTAATAAAGAGATTTTCAAAGCCAAGTGCACAGCTAATTAAGTAAATAAATAAAATAGCATTGATCATCAGGATTTATATTTTTATTTTTATGCAAAGCCTTTGACTATTCAGTTATTTTTTAATATATTTTACCCCATATTTCACAAGAAATGTGAATGTAACGGTTACATGTAAAGTTCAAAAACTATGTTTTTTCAATTCATTTTATAAAGAAGGTTAGGCTAAATAGCCCTTTTAAACATACATATCATCATTCACCTTGGTTTTAAGTTGTTTTTCTTGACTATCTGAAGATGGCTATACTTAATATTGTCTAAGTGATAGGGGGCATGTGTTAAAAATATGTACATTTCTACTGCCTTTGCTATTAGTAAAGCACACTTAAATGAGTAAGAAGAGAGAGAATTTTTTAAACATAGCTTATTGCCCATGTGATATTAAAATTTGGTTTTCTCTCTTAGTTTTCATGGGAAGACTTAGGTAAATTAGTATTTTACGTAGGAGGTATGTACAAAAACTGTGTCCGCTATTAAATTATTCTACCTTGAATTGTGATTTTATTACATATAATGCATGCTTATTTTGGAAGTGTGTTATAAAAACCATTGATACTTTGCCCTACTGGAGAGGATGATTCTTACTAGCATTCTGATAAACTGTAAATCCATGGAGTTTATCACAAAAGCAATTTTACATTATTTTGGAAACAAAATTTCCTATATAGTTTAAATTATTTTTGATTCTATATGTTATCTTTATAAGAAAAAATAATAAAGTTTCTTAATGTCAAATTTTAATAATCAAAATACATCTATTAGGCACATTGCGTACATTTTTAAAAGCCAAGTAAACCCTGTAGTAAATATAAAAAAAAATATTAAAATAACAAGATAAATATTATATATTTATTTATTTATTTGTTAGAAGTTGGACACTTAAAAGGGTGACAGCCTTTGCATACGACTACATTAAAACAATTTAAGTTAATTTAAGTAAAGGAAAGAGGCATTCAAGCATCAACTGTTATTTATACTCAAATTATCTGACAGCTTTATGTTGTGACATTTGGTCTTTGCAAAACACTCAAAATATAAGTCATTGCTCTGTAACCTCACAGTCAGCTTTATATTATGGTAGTCATGAATGCCAGTTTGTACCCAACGTTCATAAATCCTACTGCCTTTTTCAACAGGCCAATCACAGGATGATCATAGGGTTTCTGATTCACTTATAGTGAATTTAGGTGAAATGGAATATAAACCAATTTCTCTGAAATCATCTAACTATAAAGTTGTGATAAAAGAGACATGGTGTGGCAAGAATTATACTGCAGAGATCTTTATTACATTCAATGGTTGACATCCTGGGCTGGTCCTAATTAAAACATTGGCCTGTAGAAGCCAAAAGTAACTTCCAAGGCCTAACAAGCACATCATTCTGTGGCCTATGGCATTCATTCTTGAGAGTAAGGAATAATCAGTAGTAGAATGGGCATCCTCTTCATCATAGTTCCCTGGGACTGAGGGTTAGATGTGCATGATATAGTATACCTATAATGAATCAACAAACATAGATCTTTCTCCAACTTTAGTTCAACTAAAAGTCACTTTTGACACATGTTAAAAAAAAACATCAATACTCAAGCTCGGTTCCCAGAGATTATAATTGAGGGCTTTTCGAAAGGAGCTCAAAAATCTGTGTTTTTAACAAGCAGTATCTGTAGTTCCACCACACTTTACGAAAGTGCTTTATAGGAAACTTGCAAAGTATAGGGAATTAGGAACTGTCAAAAGACATACAATGTGATCCTTGCACCTAAGTGGCTTACAGCCTCTTTGTGGGACAAGTCATGTACACAATCTAACTCAGTATTAGTGACAGGTTCTTACAAGTGCCACATTACAGGTTGTGAGTTCTAGATGAAATCCTATAATTAAGCACTCACTCAGGCTGGAATTGCCAGGGAAACCAGGAAATAATAGAGGAAAGGGTAAAGAAAATTTCAAGTGGAATGACCTGTATATACAGAATAGAGAGATGCGTGGGCCTGGCATATTTAAGAGGATAACTCTTGGATAGATGCTTGAATAAACTGATATAATAGATTGAACAATATATTATAAAGAGAGGAGTATATATTGTATTAACAGAGGAATTTGTATAGGAGTATGTATTCCTGTAGTGGAGGATTTTGAGAAACTCTAAAGATGTAGCTGACTAACCATCTAGCCGTCTATTTAATCTAGGGTTTGGCAAACTTTTTCTGTAAATATTTTAGGCTTTGTGGGCCATGTATGTCTCTTTTGCATATTCTTCCTTGTTTATGTTTTCTGTATATATGTATGTATGCATGTTACATATATATATATGTATTTTAATTTTTTAAATATGTGAAAGAATTCTTCACTCAAATACTGAACCAAAATAGGCTCAAGGGCCAAACCATAGTTTACTGACCCCTGATCTTATCCGTCCAGCTTCTGGCTTCTTCCACAAAGGGTTTAAAGAAACTTGGAGAAATAAAATATGTATATTATAAATATTAAATGTATAATAAAAAATTAGCAAGTAAAAAAAGTCAATACCTAATAAGGGAAAACTAACAAAAATATCAGTTACTATATTTGAGCTTAAGAATTTGGTTTCAGGCTTTCAGAAACCCAGTCAAAAATTTGACCAGTTACTTAGGTCTTATATATTAGGGCAATAAGACAAGCCAGTCTCCCTTCTTAGCATTCCTTTCTAAAGCAGTGCCTCACATAGGACTTCACTCTCTTCAACAGCTTCTGTAAACCAAATGCAAATAAGCCTGTTTTGAAATAATTTTTTGATGAAAGCTGAGAACGTAAACCATAAATGCCCAGGGAGGCAGTTATGAAGAATATTAAGGATTGTGGCCCAAATATGGAGTCTTCAGTTTCTAGGCTGATTCAAGAAGAAAACATAAAATATGAATTGGATATTTGTCAAATCATTATATACATATATTTTCCACTTTGATTTACAGGGAATTTTAAATCAATTGCTTCTTTTTGTCTAATTATATAAACTTACCTACTTCTTATGCAAAACTTGGAAAAGAAAAAGAAAAATCATTCGTAATCTTACTACTTTGAATAAAATTCCTGTTGATATTTTGATGATTTCCTCTTATTTTACATACGTTTTATAACTCTATAAATGTATTTTAATGTTATCATTTAACTTACGCAAATATTCCAATAACTCTTCATTTTTTGGCCTTTTCCATTTTTGCCCTTTTAAGTGTTGGAATAAATGCAATAAATAGATTTCTAAAAAAAATGAAATCGCTATACTAAAGTCTGTAGCATTCTAAAGTATTTAAATGTTATTTCTGTTTACTATTAAATTTTTTTTTCCGTTTTACTCTTTCACCAGAAGTTATGAAAGTGCCTATTTACAAAAATGTAACTCCTTGTTCCACTTATCACTACTAAGGAGTTACATTGCTGTAAACTTTTGATAACTATAGGAAAAAAATAGTGCCAGTTTCCATTTCTGTTATTACTAGTACCAAATAATTCATTTTTCTCTTTTATTTCTAATTATGCATATTTTTCTCTCATTTATATTTTAAAAGCCTAGTATTTTTAATCAATTTTTCGAGATCTTTCCATGCCAAGGATTTTAATCTTTTGTCATATTTTTTAATCATGTTTATCTAATGGATGATTTACTTTTTAGATTTATTTTGTTTTGACTTAGAAAAAGTAGTAATTTCAATACAGTCAAATCACTTTCCTTATGATTTCTTCTACTGACTTCTAAAGAATGAAGCCGTTACTCAGCAAGATATCAGACTCATACCATCTGCTTCCTCCATCCCCCATTGTGTGGTTTGAATATTTACAATTATCTTTTCAATCCATCTGAGATTTTTTTTTGTATGGCATTCTATAAAGAATTAAGTGGACATTTTTTCCAAAATAATTGAATAATTTTCTATATATGGAAAAATATATCCTTCTCATTGATTTATGATGCCTTAAATTATGTATTATATTTTAAGTATGCTTAAAATCTTAGTATATTATATTTGAATTAAATAGATGACTTGCTTTCATCTTTGTTTCACAATATAGTTCATTTGGCTTATAATTAGTGGATCATCTTGACAGAGTCTAGGTGACTGATGGTCTTATTTTTAATTTGCAGATTTTCATTTTCTTGTCATTCTTTAGGGGTTAGAGTGGGTAATTTGAAAAGACATGTCAGAAATAACTACTTAGTTAGAAACCTTTGTGAAAAGCCAAAAGTTTTATCCTTCGAAAGCAGGCTACTACTGGTCAGTGGCAATGACTCTACATCATTATAGAGAAATATGCTTATCTTAATTGCTATGAAATGGGAGCATAGAAGTCAACTGAAAGCAGTTTCAAGTCATTGAAATGAATTTGTTTGTTTTAGGGCAGTTCAGAAAAGAGTTGCATTTTGCATAGCTTGAAATTATCATCTGATCTCTGATGACCATTCTTGCTGAACTTGTCTTTTGCAATGCTATTAACACACAGGTTATATTCAGGCAGCTAATTGTAGGGCTTCTATGTTGAACTCAAGTTTAGTGCAGACTTTTTGTCCAGAAATTCAAAAACCTAGCAGTACTCATTGACACGTGCAAAGAATATGTTATTTTTGGCTTATTTATAACTTTGACCACATACAATATTGAAAGCAGTTTCTCTAATTATTCTTCATTAATGATTGCACTAAGAATCCAACAGGTAATTTATAAGCAAAGGAATGGTTTTGTCATTTCAAGGAAGATGACTTCTTTATTTTACTTAAATTATAGTATGAGTTTTTCCAGGTAAGGTCACAGCAAAATTACAGTTACCAAGGTGACAATAATTAGACCCCTTGAAGTTTTAAACAATGGCAAAATAATCTTAATTATTGTTTCAATGTAAGCTTTCCAGCAAAACAAGCTATTTGAGGATAGATTTTTAAACTTTAGACTGAAAATCTCTTGGGTATGTGAAATCCAAAGCACTTACACGAAGACATGGGAAACCTGGGAAAAATAAGCTCCATGGATGACTTTTGGTTTCTGTGTTCCTACAATTTCTCTTCTCCTGAGGACATAATTTCAGTGCCTAGGTTTAATCTCATTATTGGTCCTGAGTCCCCCACAAGGAGTTATGTTTGAGTTTTGAATGATATATATATATATATCATTTGAATTATATATATATATCATTTGAATGATATATATATATATATAAATATATATAATATATATTTATTTTTTGAGATGGAGTCCTGCTCTATTGCCAGGCTGGAGTGCAGTGGCACAATCTCAGCTCACTGCAACCTCTGCCTCCCAGATTCAAGTGATACTCTTGCCTCAGCCTCTCAAGTAACTGGGACTACAGGTGCCCGCCACCATGCCTGGCTAATTTTTGTATTTTTAGTAGAGACGGGGTTTCACCATTTTGGCCAGGATGGTCTCGATCTCTTGACCTCATGATCTGCCCACCTCAGCCTCCCAAAGTGCGGGGATTACAGGCATGAGCCACCGCGCCTGGCCTAATGTTATAATTTTTTTATAAAATTAAAATTGCATACGTAACTGGTAGTCTTTTCAGGATTCTATTTTGGTTTTTTTCCCTCATGAAACTATTTAAAGCTCATTTGTCAAATCAGGAACTGGAAAGATAAGGTGTACATTTACCTGCAGTTGAGACATAAAAAATCTGTTTTAAAACCAAAAAATGTTTTAAAATATTTATAACAATTGGAGGCAGGTGCTGTCTTTTACTTACAAGATTTAGGAAAGCTTCTCTCCATTTAATTCTTTACTTCCTAATCTCATCAATCTAACCAAGTTGTGGACATTCTGAAGAGCCACCTTATCAAATGAGTGGAAAATGATTAATTTAGAAACTATAGTAAATCCTTACTTAAGGTCATTGCTGGGTTCTTGGAAACCGCCACTTCAAAGGAAATTACATATAATAAAACCAACTTTCCCATAGGCTAATTGATATAAACAAGAGCTAAGTTCTTAGGGCATATTTCTGGTCAGAGAAACATTACCAAACTTCTAAATAAAGACCCAGAACAATTCTAACATGAAACATTGAAATAAATGTGACCTATGCATACTTTTAAGAAAGATAAATAAAAACAAGTAAGGTAATTATTTACTCAATTTTGGTGAATTAGTGAGTGACAGTGATTGTGGTGGTGAGTCCACTGAAGGAATAAAGGTTTACAAAGCGAAAATCTTAAGGAGCACCCCTTCCCACCATGCAGTTCAAAATCAAACAATGAAAAATATGGCAGACTAGAGGAGAGCTTTAGTACCCCATCATTTCTTGTTGCATTTGTAGGATTATTATCTCCTTTAAGAATTTTTATTTTACAATCATTTGTATTCATTCATTTATTTTCCAACCAGCTTATTCTAGTTCAGGGTTTTGGGTGGCTGGAGCCTATCCCTGCAGCTCAGGGAGCAAGGTGGGAACTGACTCTAATAGGACACTATTCCATCACAGGGCACACACACTCCTACACACTCACTCAGACGGGGATCATTCAGACATGTCAATTCATGTAATGTGCACATCTTTGGGATGTGGAAGGAAACGAATATTCAGAGAAAACCCATGAGAGAAGTACATGTACACTCCAAACAGACAGTGGCTCTGGCCAGAAATTATTTTTTTTCTCATCAACATTATAATAAAACAACATTGAACAAAACAATTTTATTCGAGGACCTACTGTATACTAAACTATATTTCATAGAAGGCTAATTAAAATGTAGTCTGTAACACTGTTTGCTAAAGGAGAGAAAAACAGCACTATAATCCCTAGACCTACTCTATAAGCCACCTGTGTTGTTTTATATATTCAGAACATAACTACTATTATTTTTACACACACACACATCCACCTGTTCACCACTCCCCTCCCACACACACATACACACACAGCCCAAAAGGTTGAGTGTATGACCCAAGCTAGACCAGCCAATCATGGCATCCCACACGAACCCCATCAATTGGCCCAGTAATGAACATGTCACTTGTATTTTTAGTAGAGACGGGGTTTCACCACATTGACCAGGCTGGTCTCGAACTCCTGACCTCAGGTGATCCACCCACCTCAGCCTCCCAAAGTGCTGGGATTACAGGTGTATTATCAACTGGAATCCTTTTCCAGGGTTTTTATAAGGGAAACTTGTTAAAAGGGGATCTCTTTCCTCTTGAGTCTAGGCTTTATGAATGAAAGCCCAGAAGTACGTGTAGTGTTGGGTTTTGGAGATAACCAGACTGGTAGAATAAAGTCAATGAGAAGGTGAGTGGCATAGAAAGATTACAAATACTGTTCGAATTCTTGGACCGTGTACTCATCACGTAATTTCTCATTTCTCACCCCTCTCCCACCCTCCCACCCTTCTGATCTCCAGTGTCTATTATTCCACACTCTATTTCCATGTATACATGTTATTTAGTGTCCACTTGTGAGAACATGTGGTATCTGACATTCTGCTTCTGAGCTGTTTCACTTATGATAATGGCTTCCAGTTTCATCCATGTTGCTGCAACAATCATGATTTTATTCTTTTTATGGGTGGATAGTGTTCCATTGAATAGTACACACATTTCTTTTTTTTTTTTAATTTTATTATTTTTTTTATTATTATACTTTAAGTTTTAGGGTACATGTGCACATTGTGCAGGTTAGTTACATATGTATACATGTGCCATGCTGGTGCGCTGCACCCACTAACTCTACGCTGGGCTGGGCTGGGAAAGCCTGCACTCAAGTCCAATGATGGGCACAAGTGCTGGCCACAATGGGGATCAGAGGACAGTCCTCGGGCCTCTGGAGAAATGCCCCAGCAGGGGGTGGAGCAACCACTGCTGTGTCAAAGACCCAGCATGGAGAAAGAGGTGCAGCCTGGTTTCCACAGCCTAGCAAGTGATATTGGGACCTGATGCACTGTCATACTGCCAACCTGGCAGGGCTTTCTCCCGCCACCCAAAGCTAGTGCTAAGTCAGAATACTTAGCTGAGTCACACACAATTTGCCTTCAGACCACGTAACTGCCCAAGGTCCACATTCGCCACCCGGGTCAAAACCACACCTCTCAGGCTAAAACCCTCTCAGTCCAGTCCCACAAAGGGGAAGCACACAACTTGAGGGCCCATGCTGGAGCCCATCCCACAGTCACCTCTCAGTTCTGGCTTTGGGAGTTCCTCCCTAATTCAAGACAAGATCACAAAACCCAGCCCAAGACACTCTGAAGCAGTGACTGTCATTCCTGCTAGCTGCTTAGGTTCCCATACAGCCCTCTCTGAGCTAGGATTGGTGTGGCACCCAGGTGTGAGATCCTTCCTAGTGTCATTCCTGCTCCGTCTCTCTGCTACTCCCCAAGTCAGATCTGGGGTGTGGTAGGGTCAGGACGCTCCCCTGCGGCCTGGATTGCCTGGCTATCTGGTGGGAATGTGTATTGCAGAGACACTCACCTGCTCTCACACACTAGGAATTTACTCACAATTTTCTGCTGGATCTCACCACAAAGGATTCTGCCCATTTTCTTTTTTCTGTTATCCAAAATTTTCTTTTGCTTTAATGTTGAACTCCTGTGTTCCTTCTTGGATAAAAGTTCACAGTATCAATCTCTACACACTATTTTGCTGTTTCCAATTGGGTGAGGGGTGCTAACAAAGCTTCCATTCCACCATCTGGGGAAAAACACTCAAGAAAGAGAAATACCTCTGTCTTCATTGTGCACTTGTGGAGAGAGAGAGAATGAGCTTTTTGGTCTCATCTTATAGGGACACCAATCCTGTTGATCGGAAACCCACCTCATGACTTCATTTAACCTTTATCACCTCCTCATAGGCCCCATCTCCAAATATATTTGGGGTTAGAGCTTCAACATATGAATTTTTGAGGTGGACACAAACATTCAGTCCATAACAAAAACTATAGGGTAAGGACTCTGTTAGGATAAATTCAAGCCTTTATAGGACTACATCATTAGGTCAAATGGGGCCTCCCACAATGATTTTCATGAAATAAAAACAGATTTAAAGAAAATGTAGATTTCATAATGTCTGCCACCTCTTACATGTTACATTTTACCTAACTCAGGCTAGAGGGATCACAGAAGATATAATTATATAAATGAATATATAGAATAACTGTGGGTCAAAGATTTATTAAATTATAACCACATATCTAAACTGACTGATAGCAGGTATCTTGTCTCGAAAAATATAAAAGCACTGAGCTAAAGCACATCTATCTTCTCGGAGAGCTGAATTAGGATAGGAAGAAATAAATGCTTGTTGTATGATTCTGGTAGCCCACGGCCAATTATGTTAGATTGATGGAGAACTGAGTGAACGAGTCTCCCTTTCCTGAGCCTATTTTTAAATGATGGAGAGAAATACAAGTTTTATGACTGGACATCATAAAATTATGATAATGACTGAATCTATTTCCTGAAACCATATGTCTTACAGATATGTAATTTTGAAATACAAAAAATTTTAACATGTCAGTATCTTTTAATTCAGGGTCACATCCAGGCATATTTCAGGAGAATTTTATTAAATGCTAGGAAGACTAGAATATCCATGTCTGGAATAAAATTATAGTCAGTTTAATGCAGTGATTCTTAATCTTTTTGCACATTAAAATCACCTGGGAAGCTGTTAAAAAATGCCAATGTCTGTTTCCCACCCCAAATTAATAAAATCAGAGTCTAGAAATAGGATCAGGCATTTTTAAAAAAAGTTTTTGGTTAATTTTATTTTACAGAAAATCACTGTCCTAATGTGGAGAAGCAATTAAGTCATTGTCTAAGGCAGCAAATAGTTTAATTCCTTGGTCTAAAATTAGAAGGTCCAGCCTGTGTAGACCAACATATTCTTGTCAGCCAACTTCATATGAGGTGCAAAGCTCACTGAAGTGTCAAGACAAATCAGTAGTCAAAAGGAATCAAACATTACTGAGTGGCAACTGAAAATCTCAACCCACATTTGGAATGGTCCTAGAGAAGTGTTATTTCCTGGAACTAAATGGAGATTGGAGACATTCAGTGTGGCTTTCTGTTTGTAAAATCCATTGAGGGGATAATTCTTACTAATTAGCTCCCTTTGGAAAAGTAATTGGGAGATTTAGTCATAAGCAGCAAACACAGGAAATTCACTGCAACTTAGAACCTGAACTTTAATCAAATATCCCTTCAGGGACTTGAGTCTTTATAAAAGAATATCCTGTTTTTTCCTGGACACTAGGCAATGGAAAAGAGCATCACATCCTAGGATGCCTTTTGGTGCACTACCAAATAAGGAGTAAAATTTGTGGTGACCATTTGAAATACTTTCTTTACCTATTTGCATATGATTTCTATAATCCTTTAGGAATAACTTTGCCATAATCATCTCCTGTTAAATACTTACAATAAGGCAAAGACATAGGGATGCTGAAGTGTTCAGTTTTTTCCAGTAAGTAAAGGGAACCATTAAAATTTTCTGAGCAAGTAACTTACATGCATAGAGAAGTTAAGGAAGTTGACTTTAGAAAGATATAGTTGAAGAAGGAGAAAAAATAGGCAAAGAGATCAGCTATAAAATCATCATAGTAACTATACCAAAGCAGATAGGACTTCAATATAATCTCTCTCTCTCACACACACATACACACACACACACACACACACACACACACACACACACACACACGAGGTTGCAGGATTTTTTAAATACAAATGTAAAAGGGTGGCAAATGAAAAAGTTTAAGTTGTAGCAATAAGATGCAATGCCGATTACACTCTAAAATAGATAAAATTCTAAAATGAAAAATCATCAAAGGAGGATATAGTAACTGCTTATACTATTCTCAAATGTCCTTACATCAAGAACATAAGTCTGCCAAAGGTTAGAGACATTTTGGAGAAGACTTCTCTGTAAAAGCTCTTAATGTGTTACGAGTCTTACTGTTACAGCACATCATCCTATCCTACCAAGGAGAGCTGGAGAAGAATTCAGCCTCACCTCGACCGAGAGAGGATAACATAATATGTATTTTCTTCTTCTTGTTTTTGTTTTTGTTTTGTTTTGTTTTTTTTTGAGGTGGAGTCTCATTCTACTGCCCAGGCTGGAGTGCAGTGGCACAATTTCGGCTCACTGCAACCTCTGTCTCCCAGATTCAAGTGATTCTCCTGCCTCAGCCTCCTGAGTAGCTGGAATTACAGATGCCCATCACCATGCCCAGCTAATTTTTGTATGTTTAGTAGAGACAGGGTTTTACCATGTTGGCCAGGCTGGTCTCAAACTCCTGACCTCAGGTGATCCACCCACTTCAGCCTCTCAAAGTGCTGGGATTACAGGCGTGAGCCACCGTGCCCGGCCCATAATATGTATTTTCTATAGGTTGGAGGACTCAGAAGTGTAGTGACTGATTTTTTCATACCTGGAAAATTTATGCATGATTGACTAAGTGCTTTTATAGCTAATTAAAGGAAAGATTGAGGCTACATTATATGATTTGAACTCGCAGTGTTTATGTGGAAATTATATATGTGTCCCATGGACCAGATATAAGCCATTTAGAAGACAGAATATCTCTTGTCTGGGTCAACCTGGTCCCATTCTGAAGCACGTAGACATATCTCAGTAGAGAGAATCTGAAGGTCCTGATAGAATGCCAGGGGTTCAGGAAGAAGCTAGCAAACTGGTAGAATAAATATGAACTCTGTGTAATGAGAACATCCATAAAAATGTGTGCAATGCTGGGAGGTGGGGGAATGTCATGGTCTCCAGAGAACGCATGAAAGTTGTAAATCTAGGACCAGGAACAATGAAGGGGTTTTCCTCTTCTGCCTTTCTGTGCTCCAAACCTGAGGGAGCCAGCAATCCCGGTTAGGAAGCTGAGGGAGCAGAAATCATAGTCATGGCCTGATAATGAGAGAAAAAGTCAACTATATTTTCCCAGCTGTAGATTTCCCACCTGCAAAAGGCCCAGATTAGAGGAGGGTAGAAGCCTCAATATCTAACCAGGGCCAGAGTTTGAATTTTCACTAAGGTTAGAGGTTTTTAAAATTGTTGAATTTTAAGAATGTGATCATAAGTCACTCTATTGCTTAAAAATACACAGAAAGGTCATAGGACCTGTCTAAATTTTTTGAAAAGTAAGGAAAAATTAACCCAGCAGAAAAAATTTGAAAGTACTCTGAGATGCAAAAAATATGATTATTTTTATTGTACTTTATGAATGTTGCTTATGCAATCTAACATTAACAAAGCTAAAAGTCAAGAATTATAAACTACTAAGAAATACACAGATGAATAATTACATTTTATGTCTTTGTAGCATTTTATAATTTTACATGTATTCTCTTATTTGATCCTAAATATTCTGAAGATAAAATAGAAATAATTTTCTTCATTTTATAGAAGAATAACCTGAAGATTAAGGGTAATGAGTGACCTATTATATGTGTTGAAGTAGGTTTTAAGTTAGGACCAGAATCCAGATGACTATCTATAAATCTTACCCAAGGGCACAGCTCCTTAGGTAAGAAGTAGCCTTTGCAATTTTCCTGAAAGCTGTTTTCATTAATTCATTCAGTAAAAATTATTGACCTTCTACCATGCCTCAGGCATTGATAGGAATTCATTAGGGAAGAAATCAGAGAATCCCACTTCTTGCATCGAACTTTCATTCTAATACAGAAAGGCAGGCAATAAACAAACAGAACAAATAAAAGGATATGTCAGGTGGCAAACTTTGTGAAAATATAAATATGGCATGTTAAGACAGACAACAAGACAGAGACTATTAGGAACCAGAGCTGCTGTATGTTATGTAGGCCATACTAGAGCTGGGCTGAGCAGAAGGGCCAGAGGTGGGTGCACTTTCAAAAAGCAAAGAGGCTATTGCAGCTGGAGCAGTGAGCAAAGAAATGTGCTAGGTAGGAGATGATGCTCTAGCGCAAGGGAGTGCATGGTCTGAGAAGGAGGTCATATAGGGCCTTCTAAGATCTTCCAAAGACTTGCAACTATGAACTATTCACCGTGAATGCTATGTGAAGCCATTCACGTGCTTTCACCAGAGGGGTGGTTTTGCCTGGCTGGTTTTGATTCTGTTTTTTAAGATAATTCTAGCTGATATGTAAGAATAGATGCCAGCAAGCCATGGCAGGAGTGAGAAGACTGGTGTGGAGACTACTGTAATAATGGTCCAGCAAGAGCTAGGGTGGCAGTCGACATGCAAAGGCATGTTTTCTACTTTTTTAACTTTTTATTCTGCAGGTGGTCCTTCGCTGGTCTCATACTGCATTTCCTTAGGTCACATTGGTGCAATCTGTAATAAAAGATGCCTCAATGACAAAATTGTTTGCTACATGGAGGGATTCCTCACTCCCATGTCTGGAAATGAAATCTTGCAGGTCATTACCAGTTAAGATAACCCTTGACCATCCTTTGTAGTTCACTCTGCCTTTGCACCATCATCCTGTCAGCAGATTTCTCTATCACTGAATGCTATTTATTTTCTTTATAGCACTCATTATAAATTGTAATTGTACATTTATATATGTATTTATGCAGTTATTGTTCATTTTTCTCACTAGACTCTATGCCTGCAGAAGGCAGGATCTTTCTCTATTTTATTTCTATTTATGGAATGCCTAGTCTACAATTTGACACAAAGTAGTTAATAAAAATTACATATGAATGAATAGAAATAGTTTGACTTTTACTTTACTTCTAAGGTATCCCAGATCTCTTTCTCTTATCTCTATCTAAATGAAAAAGCTAAGGAAAATATCTGAATGATTTCATTTTTAAAAAGAAAAATTATTTAATTGAGGAAGAAAGAGAATACCCTCCCCTCATTTTTCAACTACATTGATTATATTTTTGTGGTAGTCAGAATAATATCCCCCCCCCCAAAAAATATCCATGCCCCAATCCTCCAAACCTATGCATATGTTACATTCCTGAGGAATGTAATGGGGAAAGAGGAATTATATGGGAAAGAGGAATTAAAGGCTATAATTATCTGGCTTTAAAATGAGGGATTGAGGATTATCTGGGTAAGGCCAGAGTGATAACATGGGACCTAAAAGGGAAAAAGGGGAGACAGAAGGGAGATCAGAGGGATGTGCCCTAAGAAAGACAGGCCCTGCCATTGCTGAATTTGAAGATGGAGGGATTGGGCCATGAGTGAAGAAATGTGGATGCCTTTACAAGGTGGCAATACCTCTCAGTTTAAAGCTAGCAAGATAACAAAAACCTCAGAGAACTGCAAGGAACTGAATTCTACCAACAATTGCAATTATCAAAAGATAAATTTTCCTTTTCATTCCCAAAGAATGTAGCTGTGCAGACACCTTGATTTTAGCCTGGTGAGACACATTTGGGACTCACTTAGTATTCATTTAGCTATTTCACTTTTTATAATGCAGAATCTGCCGATATTATAATGCAAATTAAGATCTTTATGATTAGCATCTTTGAAAAAATACTTTTTCTTTTTTTGTTTTTAAACTTCATATATTTTTGTAACTATTTTGAAACATAATAGCTGATGTTATCGGAATATATTTGCACCTGAAAACTGTTTCCTCATATTTTTATCATAATATTAATATTCTTAAAATCCTGCAGTGGCATTGATAGTAGCCAATAAAATCAAGATTTAAATTTTAAAAATGTTCTAGACACAGTTAAATCTTAATTATGCCATTTGCTTAACAAGGCACTTTGTAACACCTTCGGTTACACCAAAGGCACTTCGGGGTTTTATTGTTGTATTATTGTTATTACTTTACACTTTCTGTCCTACAATTATAACTGAAAGCTACGAGACTGGATTTCAGGAAATGAGAAAAGTTGAAAAGCAATTTTACTGTAACTTCTCAGAAGAATTACTAGCAGATTTAAGAAAAAAGAAGTAAATAATCACTACCAAAATTAGGTAATGGTCTCATACTGCATGTGGGTAATTCATGAATTTCATTTCATATCACTTCTCATTTCTACAAGGTTTTAGGTACAATATGAAAAATGCTCATAGACACTTAACATTTGCCCGAGTGACAGAGACTATATCTTCTTGTTTCTTTCTTCCATGTACCAGTAGGAACTAAGAAACTTTGAAGCATATTCAAAGAATTCTGTTTCTTTGGTAGGAAGGCTGGCTGTGCATAAAGGCTGGCTCCTGCTGCATGGTTAGAATCTTGAGATATAATTTAGCTTTTCAGAAAAAGACATCATGTACGTGTCACAAAGTCTAGTCTCTGAATTTTTTTTGTTTCTTATTTGCTGAAAAATACCTATTCTACTTCCTGAAGCAAGTTCATATATTTAAAAATATAACAGCTTTATTGAGTTATAAATCAAATACCATAAAGTTTATGCTTTTAACATGTAAAATTCAGTGCTTTAAATATATCCACAAAGTTATTCAACCCTCAGGGCTATCTATTTTAAGGATATTTTCATCACTCTAAGAAGAAACTGTACATCCAATAGTAGTCACCCCCGACTTCCCCCTTTTCTCAGCCTCTGACAACCATTAATCTACTTTATCTTTCTATGAATTTGCCTATTCTAGACATTTCACATAAAGGGAAACATATGATATGTGATCTTTGTAACTGGCTTCATTCACTTACTATTATATTTTTAAGATTTACCACTGTTGTAGCTTGAACTGATACTTCTATTCCTTTGCATTGATAAATAATATTCCATTGTCTAGGTGTACCATATTTTATTTATCCATTGATTAATTAATAAACATTTCAGTTGTTTCCGCTTTTCCTCCATTATGAATAATGCTGTTATGAACTTTGTGAGCAAGATTTTATGAGGACATAATTTTTTTCATTTCTGTTGGATATATACATATATATATATATATATACCTAGGAATAGAAATGATCCTTCCTTTGGTAACTCTATGTTTACCACTTTCAGGAACTACCAAGTTAGTTTCCAAAGTGACCATACTGTTTAGTGTCTCCATTGGCAATATACGAGGGTTCAATTTCTCCACATCTTCACCACCACTTATTTCATGTTATTTGTTATCATTCTTATTATTATTGCTGCTGCTGCTGTTGTTATTATTGCAATCCTAGTGGATGTGAGGTGATATCTCATTATGTTTTTGATTTGCATAGTTATAATAACTAATAACAAGCATCTTTTCCTGTGCTCGTTGGCCATTTATAGATCTTCTTTGGAGAAATGTCCTTTCAAATTTTTCGATCATTTTAAATCGGGTTATTTTTCTATATTTTTAGGTTGTAAATCTTCTTTATATAAATTGGATATAAATCCTTTATCAGATCTATGATTTGCAAATATTTTCTGCCCCCCTCTGGGTTTTATTTTCACTTCCTTGATGTTATCATTTCTAGAATAAGAGTTTTATATTTTTTGAATCTATACTTTTTCTGTGCTTAGAACTTTTATTGTATCTAAGAAACCATTACTTAACCCAAGGTCCCAAAACTTTTCTCTTACATTTTCATCTAAGATTTTTAGAGTTTTAGCTCTTACATTTAGGTCTATGATATATTTTGAGTTAATTTTTGTATGTGATATGATATAGTGGCCCAAGTTTTTTCTTTTGCATGAGACATCCAGTTTATTCCAGTTCCATTTGTTGAAACATCTATTCTTTCCCTATGGAATGGTCTTGGCCCTTTGTTGAAATACAATTGACTATAAATATGAGTTCTTATTTCTGAACTCTTAATTCAATTTCATCAGTACATATCTCTGTCCTAATACCAGTCCCCACTATCTTGATACCTGCAACTTGTGGCAATTTTGAAATCATAATGTGTGAGTCCTCCAGTTTTGCTCTTTTTCAGGATCATGTTGACTCTTCTGAGTCTCTTGCATTTCCATGTGAACTTTATGATCGTCTGTACGATAAGCAGTAGGATTTTGATGGGGATTGTGTTGAATCTGTAGATCAATTTGGGAAGCACTGTCATTTAAACAGTATTATCTTCCAATACATGAGCATGTCTTTCCACTTACTTAGATCTTTAATTTCTTTCAAAAATATTTTGTAGTTTCCAGTGTACAAGTCTTACTCTTGTTAAATATATTTCTATTTTGTTCTTTTTGATACTATTGTGAGTGACATTGTTTTATTAAATTTATTTTTGATTGTTCATTGCCAGTATGTAGAAATATAACTGATTTTTGTACATTGAACTTGTGTCCTAAAACCTGTGTGAAGCAGATACCTTTTTTTATATGTACTGTATTGCCACTTTTAAATCAAATATGGAGTGGCTAGTAAAACTTTTACTCCTAAGCTTTATTTCTTTATTAAAGCTTATAATAATTTCTTTAAGCAGAGGAAGTATTTACCTAATACCTTCTGCTTCCATAGCCATCAATAAATATTTTAATAAGGTACTGTACAAAGCAAAATGGATTTAAGAAGATATTTGATATGCTCCCTAGTCTCTATAAGCTTATTATCTAGTGGAAAAGGGGATACAGATGCATAAATGTTTACATGTAGTGTTACAGGTCCCATAGTTGATGCATAATACAAACTAGTAAGTTATCTACCTTGTTTGAAAGTAGATTTACCTGTCCTTTTATGCTTAGAAAGAAACTTATTGTATTTTGTTTTGCTTAACTCAGAATTTTAATTAAGTAAGTAATCTTTGAAAATAGAATAACATGTCCATTATTTTGCTTACAAAATACTGATAATTGTAACACAATGAAACATAAGCAGGGACCTGACACTGGCAAAGTTAGCATATTTGTAAATAAAGGTTTAACAGTTCGCATACTTTATCTTTCCACTATAAATGTTTTAAGCACCTTTCTAACTTATTAAAGATATTTCAATTTAATTTTATATCAAAAATCACAAGACATTTGGGCTTTAAGACTTTCCATCGTCTTATTGTCTTTAATAATATCTCTGTGGTCAGTTAATATTTTAAGTACTTTTTGGCTATTTGCTATGAAAACTTTAAAATAACTATAGTTAATTTTAATATACAGTGATTATTTTAAAATGCACCTATTATGTAATTATTTACTATTGCTTTCTAAATTTAATTACACATTGAACATATTAGCTAAGTGTAAATATGATATGCATATTTTCATTGCATGTATTTAAGTAAAGCAACTCTTATTTAAAACCACCACTCCTATCCCCACTTCACCCCTTTCACACATTTGTCATTCCTAAAGTATCTGCCCCTCTTTGCATCTGTTAGTCACTGTCATAGTGTCTGGAATAGTAAGTATTTATAGTGTTTTCAAAGGAAGGAATGAATGAATGAACAGAGGGAACACGTATTGAATTTTCAAGGAAGTATAAATCACTATGAAACTGAGTATTGAGAGAAGTTTCTAAAGACACTATAAGACACAAAAAGATTTATAGGATTTCCATAATTAGAGAAGAAAAGACAAGGGATTTGAGGTATGAACAAGGGTATGGAGGTGAAAATGTGATTGCATCTGAAGAAAATGAGCAGATAAATTTGACTGGATTAGACACAGACATGGGCAGTATATGGTCCTACCAAATTTTACATGCCAGAATGGGAGGCAATGGATGGGAACAGGGAAACATCGATAATGATTTCAAGTTTCCATAGTAGGTTACTGGAAGGATAGTATTGCTCATGTTAAAAACTGAGAAAACCACAGGATAATTTGGCTTTGAAGAAATAATTTTGACTTTAAAAAAAAAAAACATGTTATTCGGTGAGACAAGACACCTCAATAGAAATGTCTGGTAGGTAATCAGAAATGTGAGACTGGCGCTTGAAGGCAAAGACTGAAGTAGTGGTATGGGTTTGAGAGATAGTCGTTAAAACTGTGAGAGTAGGTCTCAGAGGAAGAAATGGTTATGGTGCAACACGGGGTGGAGGAATGGCTCTTAGTGCTAGGGAAGGCTAATGCCGAATGGGCATGAGGAAGAAATGGTGACACAGGATGAGAAGCAAGAGTGTATGGACAGAACAAAGCATCCCATTATCCACAAAATAGTTTCAGGATGAAGGATGCAATTCATTCAATTAAACCTTATTTGAGTATATAATGAATACACAAAAAAGATTTTAAGCAGCTCATAGTCCACTGAAGAAAACAGAATTTTAACTGGAAGAAAAAAGAGCTTTACAGATATAGGAAAACTCTTATTATAAGATCATAGGAAGAACAACTTTGCATAAAGAAGTTAAAGATTATTTCATAATGACTTTCTGATGTCTTCAAAGGTGGTTTTTGTGAACAGAAAAAAACTGTGTAGGAGTTTCTTTGCCTTTAAAAATTAATGTATAATATATTAAAATTGCAAATCAAAATATCTGCTCCCTTATTAAACCTCTAACGTTATAAACCTTTAGTCTCAGTCTCTCTCTCCCTCTCTCCTCTCCTCTCCTCCCTCTCCCTATCCACTCATTGTTTTAACAACCGCTTTTAAGTCTTTGAATAATATTGGTATCATTTAAACAATTAAACACCTTCAAGTATAAAAACTGCATTTATAAATTAATTATATTTGATTACCCTTTTAAAGTACTGCACTTTAGTTACATAAATAACAAAATGTCCCAAATATTTTAATAATTCCAATAAATGTTTAAGTATATGGCATCTTGAGTTTGTTTACAAGTTCCAATACTATATATATAATTAATAAAATTTTTACTTTAAAATTACATATCTAAATTATTCAGTTGTATATTACTTCACTTAGGCACACTACGAGTACACAAAATACTGTACTAGAACATAAAATGGCAATATATCTGACATCAATATGTTAATGTCTTTGGTTTTATTCTCGTAAACATTTCTGTTACTCTTTAGGTTTGAAAGAAGCTTATCCATCAAAACAAAAAGTAGGTCATCCTAAGCAATTTGAGGGATACTCAGCCATGATATTGACAGGTTTTTTTTCAGCATTATTTTGGAACATACTGAGATCTAGAAGTAATTTTAATATAATTCTATAAATTGGAAGAACTCAGGTAATACATAATCTATTATGAGTCGAGAAACTACCCCTACATTTATATGTTTGCTTGAATTTTAGATATTTCGACTCCTAAGATATAAAAATGATTTTGCTCCGTTTAAAGACCTTTGAACTTCATGAAGACCTTTACTTTTTTTATATATCTTCAGAATGAACAGAGTTATTATGGGTTAAGAATGGCAGGTTAATTCTGAATATATCTCATTGGACAAATACAGTTAGAAAACAGAGTCACATTAAATTTAGGGCTCTGTGATACTTTCTATCAGGATCTTAGTATGAGTAAAGCAAGCATAGTATACATGACTGGAAAAATTAGTTTCCATTTTGAAGGGCATTGTATGCGAAACTGCGGAGTTTGGATTTTACCCCATGTGACAGGTTTTTGTGAGTGTAAAGCAAGATGTATATGGCAGCAATGTGATGGATCGCTTAGAGAAGCACTAATGTTTGGCAGGGAGCTATGAAGTTGTTGCAGAAGTACAAGCAAAAAATGGTGAGTGCTAGGTTTAAGACTATGGAAGCCAGGAGAAGTTTGGTATCTGTGATAGGATTTTGTGACCTATTGATTGCAAGGTTGAGAGATAGAGAACAAACAAAACAATATGGAAATTTAGATTTTGGAAGATTTGGAGCATTATATCATAAACTGGGCCCTCTTTAGGGAGTCCTCAATGGCCTTTCTTCCTGCCATTGCACTGGTCAACACGTTTAATAGTTACCACTACTTAGCCATGCAACACATTTTATTTCTAGTTTAATGCATTATTATTGTACAGGCATAAACAATTATATACAAATACATGAGAAGTACTTTCTATGTTACTTTCTGCCTTATAGGCTTCTGTTGAATTATGAAACTGATAGGCTATAAACATGATCTTAAGCTTTGGAAAATGTTTTCTAAGAAAGATAAATGGTGAATTTAATATTAAATAAATTTCCCCAGGATATAATGCCTTTATCTCTTTTTTATTTTCTGTACTCTTTGGTTTTCATAAATCTTGGTTTATTATTCTGTATTCTCTTGAGTATGTGGTTTACATCCCACTTATTGGGTAGGTGATTTCTATTTTATGGCTTAAATGAGGGAGGAGGATTTTTGTTATCTGGTTAATCCTGATTATGGGAAACAGATTATGTAACAGTCAACCACTTTTAGTGATCTCTTAAGAATCTTGAAGAAAATCTAATTTTCAAAGATATGAGTAATTATTCAAATATAATAATATTGCAATTTAAACTGGTTTCTCTTTATTGTGGTTTATTGGTCTGAGGATAATAAAGTACTGTATTCAGTAGTCAACAAATATTTGACTCCTACTACATCCAAAACTCTGTTCTAGGCACAGAACACAGAATGTACAGAATACACAAAAATAAACAAAAATCCCTACCCTGGGGATGTGGTTTACATTCAGGTGAAGGCAGACAGACAAATAAAATTTACACATATGCACATACACAAACTAAATATAAATATATACACACATATATGATACATTATACTATTTTGATAAGTGCTTTAAAGAAAAATAAAGCAGAGAAGAGGAATAATAATAAATGAGGGGCATGGGGGCACGAGGGGAGTGGAGAGTCACAGTATAACTAGAGAAGGCCTCAGAGAAAATATACAGGTATTTGGGAAAAATTGGAAGGAAGTGAGGGAAATAAATTACAGTGATCAGAGGAAAATACTTGACAGGTATAGGAAACAGCAAATGCTAAGGTTCTGCGGTGGCCTAAGAAAAGTGTCCTTGAGTAACGAAGACAAGGATGGCAGTATGGGTGTATCTGAAGAGGGCAGCAAGAGTGAAAGTCAGAGAAAAAACAGGGAGAGAACAGTCATTGCAGGAATGATGGGCCATTTTAAAATGTCGACTTTAAGCGACATGTTGAGGCATTGGAGAGTTTAACTTGTATTCTTTAGCAGAAACAAGGCTACAAAATGAATGGAAAAACTAGGTCTTGAACCTAAGTAACCTAAGTCTCTAAACTTTGCCAGTGCAATTCACATAATATAGTGAAGCAATCTTAGAGAATTGGAAGTTTGGGAAATTTAGGTCTTCATCTTGCCTTTGAATAGTTCCAAAGCTGTATAGTTGGCTGAGTATTTTCTCTGCTCTGAGTGACCTAAATATGTAATATAAGAAGTTCCTTCTTGCTTAAAATTCCTCATTCTACATTCTCAAAACTTTGACCATATATAGAGAAAGCTAGGAATCATGTAAATCTTTTTCCTATAGATAAGATTTATGATTATCTTTGTAATATTACGAAATAACAGCAAGTTACAACCCTCTAGAAAATTAACAGTCTATTCTATAAAAGATTAATGCTAAAAAGCAAGCAAACCAAACTAGCCCCTTTTATTCACTAGTCTTACCATAACATTTGAAGTTTATGTATACAGTTAAAGTTGAATAATAGAACAAAATATATTCTTGTATTTTCATTCTATTGCTCATTAGTGGAGAAAACAGAAGAAAAATGAGTTGTATTTATTTCTTTCCTTTTACTTTTTTGAACGTCACATTATTCTTTAATATGAGCTCTGGAAATTGATTCTACTGTATAGAGTAGGCCACAAAGTTTAAACCAATCTATAAGGGAGAAAATTCATGTTCATTTCCTTTAAGGATCTCTTTGCTTTAAAAAATCTTGGCAGCAAAATGTTAACTTTTGTGTAAGTCTTATCTCAGGTAGTAAAAACAATTAAAAGTACCTGCCTTAGTCCATTTTGGGCTGCTATGACAGAATACCAGAGATGGAGTAGTTTATAAAATACATAACTTTATTTATTGTAGTTCTAGAGACTGGGAAGTTCAAGATCAAGGAGTCTGCATCTGGTGAGGTTCTTCTTGCTGCATCATCTTATGGAAGAAAACATAAGAGCAGAAGACCGTACAAAAAGGGGATGAGATAAGGGTCAAACTCATCCTTTTATCAGGAAACTACTCTCCAGATAACAGACTAACATTTGTGATAATGGCATTAATCAATGATAGCAGAGTCTTCATGAACTAATTACCTCTTGAACATCCCACCTCTCAATATTGTTGCATTGGGGATTAATATTCCAACACATGAGCTTTTGGGGACACATTCAAATCATAGTACTACCCTGTGTTAATCTGTTCTTGTGTTATTTATAAAGGAAAACCTGAGGCTAGGTAATTTATAAAGAAAAGAGTTTTAATTGGCTCATGGTTCTCCAGGTTGTACAGGCCCCTCACCTGCTTTTGGTGAGGGGCTCAGGAAGTTTACCATATTGGCAGAAGGCAAAGCGTGAACAGGCATGTCACAAACAAGAGGGGAAGCAAGAGTTGAGAGTGGAGGTGCCACACTCTTTTAATCATCCAGCTCTCACATGAACTCAGAGGAAGAACTCACTCATACTGCAAGGAGGGCACCAAGCCATTCAGGAAGGATCTGCACTTATGACCTAAACAGCTCCCACCAGGCCCCATCTCCAACATTGGGAATCACAGTTCAGCATGAGATTTGGAAGGAATAAACATCCAAACCATATCATACCCAAAGCAGTTAACAATCTTGGGCAACCTCTTAGGTCCATCCACAACCACTTGCCCTACCTAATTTCGCAAAGCATTTTTGAAATTTGTGTTCACAGTATATGAGAAGGGAAAGGATGCTATCTTAAATGTTATGTACTGTTTCATTTTATTAATGTAATCATATATGACCCAATATCCACAGCCACTGATGTCAATTTTGATCAAAGTTGCTTTTAAAAAATACAAATGAAACTTGTTTTCTTTCTGGAAACAAATATGGATTTATATATAATTCTAGCTCCCAAATTCTTTCCGTCTCTGCTCAAAATGAGTTACCAATGCCTAACATATCAGAATCACCTTAGAATTTCATAAAAATTACAAATTCCTGAATACACAACCCAGAAAAGATAACAAAATATCTGAGAATGAAGCCTAGGAATGTGTATTTAAAAAATGCCAAATTTTTATAAATTTTAAGAACTATCAGCTTGGAGAATGTGTAGGTGCAGTTAATCCTTATTGTCCCAGGAAATTGGCACACTGACCCTGAGTAGTCGGGGCTCTAGGATGGTACACTGGTGCAATGAGAAGAACTTATATACTACTTCTGACTTTCCTGATTTATTGCCTACTTTTTCAAAATATGTAAATCCCCATAGGTGGCTAAGCGAGCACTTTCAGGTTATTTGGAAAACTGAACAGGGAGTTTAGTGACCACTGAACTTCACTACTCTTTCAGAAAACAAATACATTCCAGTGGCCTTAGAGAATTCATTAACATTCCAAAACTTATCTGCGGGTAGTAGTTTACACTGGAGGACCTAGCTCAATCTCTATAATATTGTGTGTCATAGAAGTATATTAATGGTTACACTATGTAGTTCCAAGTGTTAAAGATTTTATAGTTAGGTTTCACTGTTCATTACTTTTAAACTAACAATCATTTTTTCACATCTAGTTTGATTTTCTTTTCCTTACAAGATGACAGATTTTCTACTTTTTCTTATCTTTTTACTGGCAGCTTCTTGTCTCCTTTTATTAATGTTTAAATCTTCAATTTACAGCCCTAATATACCTATATAATGATAGCTTGATTCTTTTGCATCTAAGGGTGGAAATGAAAACATAACAACATTTTTTGCTCTTTTTACTTCCCATTTCTTTAAATATAAATTGAAAATATTAGAAGAGCTAGATCCAACCACTAAAGCCTGTCATCACATGGACACATAGAGGGGATCAACACACATTGGGGCACACATTGGAGGGTGCAGGATGGGAGGAGGGAAAGGATCAGGAAAAACAACCAATGGGTACTAGGCTTAATACCTCGGTGATGACATAGCTGTACAACAACCCCCTATGATACACATTTACCTATGTAACAAACCTGCACATGTACCCCTGAACTTAAAATAGAAGTTAAAAATAATAATTAAAATATATAATAAATTAATAAATAAAAGCACATTTTTCAATTATGTGACTACAACAGAAGGATTATATCTTCAATTTCCCCACTCCACCTTGTTTGAAGATAGCATGAAATCTTGGAGTCTATAAATGTACATTATTTTGTTTGCAGAATTATACCAAATTTTAAATATATAATTATATGGTGACAGAATGTATACATTATATAGAGGAAAAATATAATTAATTTGTATGAAATATATGGATAACAATACAGTTAGAATAATAAAGAACATATTTTATTATATTTCGGTACATATTTAGCTTTTCAGCGAGACTTGGTTCCTTCAAAATAAATCAGTCATTATATCTACAACATCTGGGCCATATAGATACTCAATAAATATTGGATGAATGAGTGAATGAGTGAGTGGGTAGGTGAGTAAGTGAATAAATGCTAATTGCAGAACTGGAAAAACTGATACATCAGTGATGTTGGAATTTTTTAATTTTTTTAAACCAAAGGAAGCTTTTGGTCTCTCAATATCTCATCTGACTTCATATACTATACCAGCAATCACAGGCAAAGTGTTATAATTAAAAGCAACCTATGTTATTTTATATCCAATAGGTAATACCTAGTTTTCCAGAGAGCATTTTGTAATAAAAAATATTTCTCAAGTAAATTCATGATGACCTGAATAGTATTTTTCACATCACTGCATGAGTCTGTGCACTTAAGTTCCTTTAAAGACCAACTTTTTCATAGAACATTAGAATTCAAGTTTGAGAAACCCTATATGCCCTGATACTTCTGCTTTTGCAAACTATGTATAGGTACTTCTTGTTATTTTATATTTCTGTGTAAGAAAAATAGTGAATCTTTTCTATATAAACCTTTATCATGAAAAAGGAAAAAAATAAAACATGTGCATTAAAAAATAAGAAATATCAAGAAGTACTTGTTTAAATCCCATGTCTTAAGATAATTTGCCTGTCCTATTTGACATGTTAGAAACAATACTAAATAGCTGACACTGTGAAATTCCAGTGATGTTTAAAACATAGATGATTATACACTTTTTTCTATGTGTACTATTTTTATAGAATATTTTATGTAAGAAAGGGAAAGTAAGTATAAACTCTCAATTTGTCTAAAAGCAAATGAAGTCTTTAAAAACTTGTTTAAAATTAGCAATATCATAATATTTCAAATGCTAAAATATGAATTAAAATTCTGTCTTTTTAAATAAGCATTTGGAGTGATACAAAAGTCAAGAATTGATGGTAATAGTATAATTATTTATACTGCTATAGGGGTAAGATTGCATAATTTGTAATCATACAATTTATGTTGCTTGAAAATAAAATCCTGCACTCTGAATTTGATCTACAAAGACATCTTTCAAAATCCTGGGAAAGTGATTTTTAGTCTACTTAAATTATTTTGTGTTAAGATTTTAATACGCTGTAAGTATCAATAAGCTGTGTAGTTTATTTGGAGTGAAATTATAATTTATGCCTACATGTATCAAATTTTCAAATAACAATACATGTCAGAAAAAAACTTTTTCTGCATATAGAATATGCCATTGATTTTATGTAAACTATTTCAGTAAGTTGTGACTGATGTAAAAATCAAACATAATAGGATTATTATATAAACAGAAAGCTTATATAGATTATAAAAATAGACTGAGCTAGTTGTTCTCTGAAGTCATTATTTGTAAATGAAGATGACTAGAACGTTGACCTGACAATAATAAATGAACCAATTGTAGCCTATTAGGAAGATGGATTAACCAGAAAATTTAGATTAAGCCAATAAAATCTATACCAATGATTGGCTCCCAGTATTATCAATTTTATTTGTCCCATGTCCAAGCTTAGTACTTATTTACAAATTCATCTTCTATTTATGGACTGAATCTGCATTCTAGTTTTAAGAACTGCATACTCCTTCCAGGGTTCATATCACCCTTCCTCACCTCTTTGTGCTTTGCCATTAACTTCTCCTGGGAGCTTCCTTGCCATAACTTCCCCAAGCCTCACTCACCAACAAACACTAATATTGTCTTACCAAAACACACTGTATCACTTAAGAACCATCTCAAAGACCATCACCTCCGGAAACTTCAATTGTGAGCCCCTCAATGGGGAAAAGCTTTTGTGTATGTGTGTGTGTGTGGGGGTGTGTGTGTGTGTGTGTGTGTGTGTATGTTCCCACATTAGTTGTGGAATTTATCTTAATCCAACCAGAATTATATATATATCATCATTAGATAAGCCCCTTCCACAGGACTATTCTTTGCCTTCTGAAAAAATTATTTTCCAAATTATATTCTTTTGAATGAAGTTCAGCATTCTTCTGAAATTAATAATTAGGGGACTAATATCTATATAGAAAAATTAGAATAATATTATACAATCAGTGTTTTGACTTCATTCTAGCTGAAGTGTTTTTATTCTTAAGGTGAGAAAAATGATAGTATTATTGTGAAATCAAGGTAAGAAAAAATATATATGATACCCAGCGTTATCCTTCAATCATAGTAGATAACTCAGTAAAAATTGTTCTCCTTCTATTTCTTATAACTTAAGTGAGAAAAAAATGAAAAGAAAGGTAAGCAGATACTGTAGCTTAGCCACCAAGTAATTGATTAAGTTGATTACCCTATTGGGAAAAAATATCATTATGGAGTTGTAAAGGCTTATGAAGAATGTTGGAAAAATTGTTTTTCTGTCATTTAGTTTTTACTATTTATGAGAGAAAGTCTGGATTAGAAAGGTGGGAAGAAGGAAGTATCAGGCCTTACCTGAATTACTTGTTTATCCAAGGCAACAGTGATAGTAGAAGAACTGGGAGCCTCACTTTAGGCAGGTAGAAAGTTGCAGAGGAAAGAGTTTCCACAGTGCTATCCTGAGGCACAGTCAGACAAACCCTCAAAAATCAGTTTCAAACAAACACTCTGTTATTATTATCATAACTCTAGTAGTGCTACAGCCACTGAGAGAAGAGACTATGTCTTCGGAGAATTTTCTATGACAAGGAGAAATTCAGAAAAATTATACTGAATTTAGGGAGTATTAGAAGAGTTTAACTTAATGAAAGGACAGTTGCTTCTTTTCATCTTGCTTCAAATGACATTTTAAAATATTTTCCTAATCTATAAACATGTGACATCAGCATTTTAGCCAAATGGCTATGTTAATATTTTATTGTTTAACTAGGAAAGGCTAAATTCACTTGATAAAGAGAGCATGTTCACTATATTCACTTGATAATTGTTCTGATACTGTATTGCCAATTCTGGAGGCAATACCTAGATGGGATTTCTCCATTACACAAGTTCCATTGATACCAGTCTGTCAATATTATTAGCATAAAAGCTCATAATGCGTTTTGAGTAAACAGTTGAAAGGATGAAGGCATAAATTAGGGGCCACTATTCTCCCTTTCTCTACCTTGCTCTCCCTAATAATTAAACCTAAATGACTTAGAAATAGAGACATCTAACCCTGATAAATTATCCCCACACATCAATATTTCCTAAAATTTATTTTTAAGATTTGTGTTTCTGCCAATAAATTTTTAAATATAGATTTGCTGTCTTTTCAAATTATATTTTATTGGGATATCCTTAAATGATGTTAAATTGTTCTTCATTTAATGCCTTTTACATTAGAGACAGAGATACAGGCATCAACAGCTTGAAATTATCATTGTTTCCAGTAAGATACTGTTGAGATGATGCAGCAGTTGGATTGATAGAAATATAAAAAAGTTCCAAAATAATAATGTGCAATCAAAATTATTATTAAACCATGGACTTGAGCCAAATCCAAATAGAGCATTTCTATTCACACAAGTGTCAGCTGGGTTTCTGGTGCTTGGGGTCCAAGACTTCAGAACTCATATGCACTTCCTGGGGCATTCATGATGCTGTTGGTGATGGACAGGTGGTCTCCTGCCTCTGTGTATCCATCACTGCCCTTAGATGGCCACTATCTTGCAGGAGAAATGGAGTCTAACTGCCTCAGGTGCTCCATCTGTCCAAAGAGAATTGGCTTGCTAATAACTCTGAGTTTCCTGGGCTTCCTCACCTATATACTTTTTATTGCATACATTGAAAATGAGACTCTATCCTTTTATATAAGTTTGCATGGGGCTGCTAACCATACATTGATATGTTGTATCAGAGTAAAAATTTGTGTTTCTAATATTTCTAACATATTCTTGTGAAGGTTTAAAGATACCTTTTCCATTGGGCTTCCAAAATTTGTTTCCTGAATTCCCTCTAATAATTATGTTTTCTATGCTTAATTTTTATGTTTTCCCTGTATTGTGTGAATAGCAGTCTTGTTAAAGTGAGAAGTAGTTTCACTCTCTTGAAATACTAGGTTGATTTTCTATTCTTTGACTGAATCTTTCTCAGTGCTCTAAATTTTTTCCTGCAATTTTCTTTCAAGACAGGTATAGTATTTGTTTTATTAAGTGTGAAACAACATGCCTTATTTTGCCAAAAGGCTGTAATATAATAAGAAACCTTTTGGAAAATTGGGTAAGACTATTTTTTAAATGATAAATTCATTGTATATGTTTGTCAGTCATAAGTGGTTGTTGATGATCCTGCAGTGTTTTGTACAAAACTGGTAAATTTGGTGCCAAGAAGCTTCATAGGTAGGTGATTAACTAGTAGTCGTTTTGCTTGAATGAGAACATAATCAACCTTTTAAGTTTCTATTATCATACTGACTATCAAATAAACTTCTGAAAGAAAAAATGATAGTTGAAGAAAATAGGACTAAATATTTCTCCTGTCTTTTTTTTAAGAGACTGGATTCAGTGCAAAAGCAAACAAATAGCTACTTATTACATCATAAAGCTGTTTATTGGAATGCATTAGGGCATGTGGCAAATCCAGACCTTATCGGGATGCCGTAGGGAGAACTCCTTAAAGGATGCTGGCTGCCTGGCTTTTCCCATTGTATAATAGTTAATTAGGTTTCCTCCAGTTCAGGCATACACACATATTGGTACTGGTAGGGATTTTCTATTTTGATAATTTAAAATAATAAAAATGGCTTTGTTTCTATAATGAAAACATATACATATGTAGGTTGTTTATATGCAAATATACAATGAATATAAGTTGTAATATTGATTTAAAATTCCTCTTAGCGACACAGACTAAGCAGTCACCCTTAGTCTGTGTTGCTAAGGCCTATTTTCTTCTGTGTGCCCCACAGTTAGTGTTGGTATGTCCGCTTCTTGTTCCCAGGCCATTATTGTTATTTGTGGGTACGTACATATAACCTACATTGATGCTGAAATATTTAAAAGGTCTTACAAAATGTTCGTATGTTAAAACAACTAACAATAAGGGAAAAAAATTGGAGTAAAGAAGTCCATAAGATAAGAAAAATATAAAACTAGGATTATGGTTTGACATCACTCTTTCTGGCAGCCAAGATAGAGTTCAGACAGTTACATGATTTCCAGTGTATATTAAAGTGCTTAGAGACACAATTATTCCTGGAACTGAGAGAAATGTGTTTCCTTTTGTCTTCATAAAGAATATACCATGTAAGCCACTGAATCACTTACAGGTTTAAAATCTGGCAAAACTGCCCGGTAGTTCATAAAAATGACAATCTCTTTACAGTATGTTAAAAATAAATTTCATGTTCAAGTTCCTCAATGTAGCTAAAGGACTGATACTAATGTTCGGTTTAGTAGGAGCAATTCTGTGCCATGTGATTGCTTATGAGTGCGTGTTTATGAGTGTGTTTGGGGTAGAAAGAGGTGTTCGGATAGAGCTGGGGTTTTAGGAGATGATTCTGATTTTTAACAGAGATTTCTCTGGAAAAATTAGAAAAAATTTTAAAAAATTAGAAACTTCATGATATCTAGAGGTCACTAAAATCTCAACCTTTGCTTATACCTATGTTTATATTTCATCTTTAATGTCAGGTGATGACATCAAGTGATTTATTTTTCATTTTTCTTTTTTGTACTTTTGGCTTTGTTCTTATATTTCTTTAACACTTTAGTAAGAGTCATCTATGCATGCATTTTTATATTTATTCTCTCTTGAACACACCTACACAAAAAGTTACATAAATGAGATTAAATATTATGTGTTTTTATCTGGTAGTATTTGTGGTTTTGTTGTTCTTCTTTCTTTTTTCTTTTTTCATCCCATCAGCATCCCTTCTCTTATTCTTGGCTTCTATCTTGGTCATTTTTTGTCCACAGTAACATTTTCAAATAATATTCTGTGTTTTGCAATTCTGAATACTCTGAACACAGGGTAAGATGCTTCATTTATATCTTACCATCAAAGGGTTCAAAAGCATACAAGTTACTTTTTTTTTTTTTTTTTTTTTTTGAGATGGAGTCTTGCTCTGTCGCCCAAGCTGGAGTGCAGTGGCGCGATCTCCGCTCACTGCAAGCTCCGCCTCCCGGGTTCACGCCATTCTCCTGCCTCAGCCTCCTGAGTAGCTGGGACTACAGGCGCCCACCACCAAGCCCAGCTAATTTTTTGTATTTTTAGTAGATACGGGGTTTCACCGTGTTAGCCAGGATGGTCTCGATATCCTGGCCTCTTGATCCGCCCACCAGATCCAAAGTGCTGGGGTTATAGGCGTAAGCCACCGTGCCCGGCCGGCATACAAGTAATTTTTAAAATATTTTATATATATGTAGCTACAACCTCTAGAGCATTACATCATTTCATCTTTCTCATTCCCTATTTGATCTTATGTCAAAAAGCATCAGGCCAGAGGATAGGCTTTAGGGTCAAGGGACAAGGTTGCAATTTTGATTTTGCCATGTAATAGGGGTTTAGTTTAGTTTGGGCAAGTTATTTAGCATTACTAAACTATAATTCATAATATGAGGAAAGCAGTAGGACTTTCTACTTGGTTTTGTTAGAATTAAGTGGTCATCACAGTGTCTGACGTATAGTAAACACTATATATTAATCCAATTACAATTTTCCAAAACTAGGTTCAAAAAGTGAATTAATTAAAAAATACATAATTGTGTGGCAACTAAGATAAACTACTAGTGGGCTTTTTAACACTGATAAAGATCACTTGGCTTTCCAGATGCTTTAAATAGGTTAAAACTGAGAAGCATGTAAATCCAAGTATATACTTATTTTGTTAGTGTGACAAACTCATAGATTTTGTATATCCTCTCTTCAACATACCCTGCCTCAAGATGGCCTTTGTAAATTTGTTTATGTGTGTGCACGTGTTTTCTTTTTTCTTTTTTCTTTTTTAATTGACAAAAATTGTATATATTTATTATGTAAACATGATGTTTTGAAATATATATATGTCATGGAATGGCTGCATCAAATTAATTAGCATATGCATTACCACACATAGTTGTCATTTTTGTGATGAGAACACTTCAAATCTACTTTATTGGCATTTTTCAAGAATACAATATATTGTTATTAATTATTATGTAAAGTTTTATTGTTACTCATAAGATGGTTGAAATGGGGCCAAGAGAGCACCATGTGATATGATGGTGATAAGTCACTTATTCCACAAGATGCTGCTCAGAAATTGTTTTTGCTCTTGGTGATTAAGGACTTGTGATTTTACATACTCAGAGGACAAATTTGAATGAAACTTATGTTGTACAATTCATCTGGTGTTTGCTGTAGTAAAAATTTGTAGAGGAATAGCTGCAGTCCTTCTCCCCATATCTTCTGGCATAAATATAAGGGGCTGGGGTACTGTCTTCCCCATAGTCCTCAGCCCTGTGTCTTGCACATTATCTATGCTCTACTGAGGAGGTACTATGTGCTCAGCATGCTGCTTGACACTGTGGACCATTTAAATACCAGGAGAAATTTAGAGGTTTGGTAATAGAAAAAGATACAGGCTATGAACAGAACTAAGAAGTAAGGGGTCACAGAAGGTAAAGTCTTCCTTCTGTTATTGAGGGAAAACATAGCTATTCTTTTAGGCCCTTTTCTTTCCCAGGTAGAAACTCTGAAGTTACAACAAAGCTGGGGACAATTTTTGAACTCATATAAATTTGTGCCAGCAACTAAATGAGTTTTGCTGTTCAAACAAAAAATGCCAGTCACTCCATTCTTGCCACCAAACTGTACATAGTGAGAGGTTTTAAAGACTTAAGTTATAAATTTTAAAAATAGTGGTTTTTATCTTAAAATTATGTTGGCCTTTCTGAGATTTAAAACTGCCACATTGTTAAGAAAGAGACCATTACTGAAACATAAAGTTTGGCTTGCAAGTTCACAAGTCCTTTCTCTGCTTCCTTTCCTCCTTAATATAGGTCCCCTGAGCTACATTGGAAGGTGTAATCTTCTCTCTTAGAACTGTATAAATACAGTAAGCCCCAGTAAAAACAGACGGTTGGTGTGATCATTTTTAACAGCCCCGGAGATGTCCATATGCTATTCAGTAATGTGGCATCTGCATAGCCCTTTAGCTGTGGAGTGTACTTTAAACATAAGCAATTTTTAAGCAACAAGGTGTCAAACTATTCATCCATGTGAAGCAAATCAGTCCTGCTGCACCCCTGAGTACAATCAGTGAAAACCCTTAGAGTGCTCTTAACCACCCATCCTCCCCAGGTGCACGGCATGTTCTTTTAATACAGTTACATTATTGTGCCTCCAAGTCAGAAAAAAAATTGTGAGGTAAAATATTCATTCAATTAACACTGGAGTCACTAAGTCACTACTGTGCTGGTGTTCTCCACCAGTCACAGGAGCATTTATGTGGCTGGACAGCTATCTACATCCGCTCCCATACAGTTATACGCTGCTGAGTCTAATCGAGGCACATTCAATACTAATAAGTAAAAATAAACTTTATGGAATAAGAGAAATTTAACGAAGTTAATTATAAAAATGTTCAAGACAAAAATAAGTGAATTAAAGGCAAAATAAGTGAATTCTTTAGTCTTGAATATCTAACTGAAACAAAGTGTTACAGTGTTGTTCTAAGACCTCTCTTTTTTAATCCTCCTCCATCCTTAGACCTTTAACATCAAGCAGACTAAAAAGAGATCTAATAGGTAGTCATATATCCCGAAAGACACATTATTGAAAAAAAAAAATGCCTACAAAGTAGTTGTTGCCAAAATAATTTGCGGGAAATCAACCCAATAAGCAACACTACAAAAATAAGATAAAAAATGGCTAGCCTCTCAAGGTGTTTTTGGCTGTGTTATTAAATGTTCTTTTATTTGTTCATATTGGCTTATGGATCCACCCAATCATAAGCCAAAGCTCACTCAGTCATCCATTCATTCATGTACTATTTATTGCGTGCCTACTATGTGCCAGGCACTGTACTAGACCCCAAATGATATGGCAGTGAACAAAAAATGCTTGGTATTAAGGAACTTATATTCTAGTGGTAGGAGACAGAAACTAAGTGAACACATAACATATCATGTACTGATCACAGACGGCGATTATGCTGTGGGGAGAAGTAAAGCAGGGACAATGGATAGTGAATAGATGAAGGGAAAGTCATTATAATTTTGACTAGAATTAACATGGATGACATTGTTGATGAGGTGATACTGGAGCATATGACTGAGATAAAAGTAAAGGAACAAGCTATGTGGGACTAGGACATGGGTGAAGTGAGCAGAGGAGGGATCAATAAATTCCAAATCCTTGCATTTTCCTTGTTTGCTCCACAAAAAAACGAAAAGATGAGTGTGGTTGTGTCTCAGGGAGGCAGAAAAAGAGTGGCAGGAGTTGAAATCAGCAGTGGAGGTGATCCATATCAGGCTAGTCATTGAAGGAACTTTGGCTTTTACTCTAAATCAAGAAGCTTCCAGATGGTTTGGAGCAGAAGAATGTTGTAATTTTATTTATGTTTTACAAGGATTGCTAACTAGCCTATGGAGAATAAATGATGCATTTGTATGTGTGTATGTGAGAGAGAGAGAGTGTGTGTGTGTGTACACACACATGGCAGCAAGGACAGAAGAAAAAACATCTAGGATATTAATGCAATAAGTAAAATATTATGGCACTTTGTTTTTTGATTCTGTTTGCTGGTTTGTGACAGAGTCTCACTCTGTTGCCCAGGCTGGAGTGCAGTGGTGTGATCTCGGCTCACTGTAACCTCCACCTCTCAGGTTCAAACAATTCTCCTGCCTCAGCCTCCCGAGTAGCTGGGATTACAGGCACGTACCACCATGCCCAGGTAAATTTTTGTATTTTCAGTACAGATGGAGTTTTGCCATGTTGGCCAGGCTGGTCTCGAACTCCTGACCTCAGGTGATCGGCCCGCCTCAGCCTCTCTAAGTGCTGGGATTACAGGCATGAGCCACCGTGCCCAGTTCGTACTTTGGAACAGGGTAGGAGAAAGTGTCCCTGTTTGTGATAACTTTCAAAAATAGAGTTCCTTTATTTGTTAATTTATCGGATAGGGTGTGAAATAAAGGGAGAAGTAAAGTATGGTTTCAAGATCCTGGCCTGAGCAACAGGAAGGACAGGTGTCCTTTACTAAGAAAGGGAAGACTGAAGAAGATGAGAAATCCAGATTTAGACAGAAATCTAAAGATATTAAATCTTATGTTAAAATGCCTAGTAAAAGCCTAAGGTGGAGATGCAGGCAACTGGGTGAATAAAATGAAAGTTTAGGGAAGGGATCCAGGCTGGAGATTAAAAATAAATTCAAAGGGATCAGCACATGGGGAAGATTTAAAATAAATCATGGAGTGAGTGAAATCGAGAAAAACGAGGTCCAAATGTGGAGTCTTGGATTTTCCAACATTAAGAGGTAAGAAATATGAAGATAAAAGAGTACAGGAGACTGAAAAGAAACAGCTGTTCAAATAGGAGTAAAGCCAGGAAAGTGTGATATCCTCAATGCCAAATGTATCAATCGGGGTTCAACCAGAGAAACAGAAGTAGTAGTAAATGTATATTAAGATATTTATGCAGAGAATTGGCTTATCAGATTAGGCAAATCTGAAATCTGCAGGGCAGGCTGTCAAGAATGGCAGGCTGGAATTTTTGGGGATGAGTGAAGGATACAGTCCACAAGTGGAATTATATCTCCTCTTCCTCCTCCTCCTCCTCCTCTCCCCGCTCCTCCTCCTCCTCCTCTTCATCCTTCTCATTTTTCTTCTTCAGACATTCTCAGTTTTGATATTAAGGCTGTTCAACTGATTGAATCAGACCCATCCAGATGATCTTGGATAAAGTCTCTCTTTTAATGTCAATTATTTATAGGCTTTAATGACATTTTCACAAAAACACTGAGATTGGCATTTTATTGGATAACTGGGACTATATCCTAGTTGATACATAAAACTGACCATCACACCAACTAAAGGATAAATGGAGGGAATGATCAACCACGTCAGATAGCATAGCCTTGAGTATGTTGGATTTAGCTGCTAATTCATTTGTGAATTTGACTACAGCAGATTTTTATTTTGGAATAGAGCTGTATTTGTTTCCTATGGCTGTCCTAATAAATTACCACAAAAATAGGTAGCTTGAAATAGCAGATATGTATGCTTTCACAGTTCTGGAGGCCAGAAGTTTAATACTGGGGTTTCACTAGGTTGAGATAATGGTGTTGGCAGGCCATAGTCCGTCCAGGGCCTCTAACCTGCCTCTTCCAGTTTATTGTGGCTGCCATGCATTTGTTGGTGGCCACTCAAATTCAATCTGTACCTTTATTTTCACATTGCTCCTCTTTTCTTGTGTATATCAAATCTCATCTACCTCCCTCTAATAAGGAAATGTGATTGGATTTACGGATCCCCCCCTCCCACCCCACAGATAATCCAAAATAATCTCCCATGTCAAGATCCTTAATTTAATCCCATCTGTAGAGACCCATTTTCCTTGAAAGATAACTTATGGTTCCACATGGTATCTCTAGGTGGCTATCTTTCAGCCTACTACAAGAAGCAAAGCCTAACTGAAGTGGATCCAGGAAAGGTACCTATTTCAGAATGTTTCTGTAAAGGTGAGCAAAGAAAGAGAGCAGCAGCTGAGGCAAGGGTGGGAACTGTATCTCCCAGTCAAACTCACAGAACTTCCTTCTTTTACATGCAAACATCCAACAAACAAACATATATGATTACAGTTTCATATATTTCACTCTCTGGCCATGTATATCTATTCATTTCTGTTACATGTTTAACCAAACCACTTATGGTAGGTTAATTTGATTATTTTGCATTGAAAAAGAAACTTGAATGAATCTGACCAGCAAGAGATAGTTTCCTGAGTCTAAATACTTTTTGACAATTTTGTTATTTTGTTTTTACCTTTGTCTACAAGGGTAAGTCGTTGTTCTCAAAAATCACAGTGAATAAATTTTCAAAGCATTGCATACATTTGTCCAGTTTGACTTACAAGTCAAATCTCTTATATCTGAATGTGATTCCCCCTATATTGTATTCCAAAACTTTGAATTACTTTACTATTACATTCTTTAAAAACATATATTGGTATTGTCAATTAAAAAACCAATTCCCATGTGCTTGTCTCTTTATTTGCTTTCCAAATCATTTAAGCCCTGGTCATATCTATGGCATACATTATAAAAAGATCAGAGGGAAAAGAGAGATGATAGAAAAAAGTCTTACTTTTTTGTCCTGTAATCCATGACAAGGTCAAGGAAACTTATTCTGAATTCCCATTTCTATTACGCATGGGCTGTCTGACATAGTAGGCATCAAGAGCAGTACGTGATACATGTGTAGGTGCTCAATAAATATTGATGAATGAATAAGTAAATGAACAATAAAATTACCGATAAGACCTTTTATGTTATGTTTATTATTCTATCGCCATTAAAGGCATTTATAAGCATCATAATTTTTAACTGGCATATATATATGAAAATGTATCCTTTTATATGAAAAAAGAGTAATTACTCATAGGATTGATATAGTGTAGCAGCTTAAAAGAGAATATTTCTTTTGAGGAAAGCATATGGTCAAAGATCTTGTCTGACAGCATTTGGCTGCACAGTGAAATTCGGGCTCTGCAATGAGACATGCTCAATGTAGTGATCCCTAATCTGGGCTTTTTTAGATTTATAATCTTGAAGTAATTATTTTATCTATCTACTCATCTGGAAAACTGGGCTATCTATTCCATATGATTTTGTTAATTAATAATGGTATTGCATATAAAGGGCCTAATGTTGTGCCAGCTACATAGTATTGGCTAATATCATGATCATGATCACAGGCAAATATCTTTTCTTCAGGTTTGATAGTACAACTTGTCTTTTTAACTTTTTATACATAAATATTATTCTCTTTCACTTGACCAATTTTCTGTACAAAATTTATTTAAGAACCCCTTAAAATTCACTTAGGAAATCAGATGGAGCATACATAGGAAGTATATAACACAATATTATCAGATTCTGTTCACTTTCTTTTGCTTTTTTTCTATACTGTACCATGTGCAGATAATCAATTGTTATTTAAGTCCTAGACTTTGGCTCTGGAATCCAGATCCCCTTATCTAATTACCTTCTTGGGTTTACCACATGGATACTTTAAAAGCAGTATGTTTAATAATGCTTTTAGGATATTTCCACCCCATCTTTGCCCAAATATGGTCCTTGTTAGTCTTCCCTGTTCAGCAAACACCATCATCATCCATCTAACTGGGCAAACCATGAATCTAGCAGTTGTTCTTGATGTCTCCTTCTTCCTCAGTCTCTGTCTTAGTTAGTTCAAACTATTATAACAAAGTGCCATAGGCTGAATGGCTTATAAACAACAGAAATTTATTTCTCACAGTTCTGAAGGCTGAAGTCTAAGATCAGGAGGCCAGTGTGGTCAGGTTCTGGTGAGGGTCCACTTTCAGGTTACAGACCGCCAACTCCTGGCTGTTCCCTCAAATGCCACAAAGAGCACTAGCAAGCTCTCTATGGTCCCTTTTAAAAGAGGCTAATTTCATTCATGAGGGCTTCACCTAAATCACCTTGACCTAATTTACCTCCCAAAGACCCTTTTAGCACAATCACATTGGTGGGTAGGATTTCAGCATATGAATTTTGGGTGGATACAAACATTCATTACATAACACCCTCCATGTCCAACTTCTCACAAAGATATTCTCTCTAAATAAGCCATCCTCAGAATTTACTCCAACCCTTCTTCAAATTTCAGCTTAATCACCATTTCTTGAGGAAGCCTCCCCTTACTGTTCCTCCTCCCTGTCTCCAGTGCAGATCTTCCTGACATATCTTCTTAATTCCATGTACCTTTGCTTTGCAGCAATTACAGAGGTAACTTTCACATTAACTTTTGAAATGATTTGATTTATGTTTATCTAAGATTCTTTGAAGATACATGGCATCTGCTTTTGCTCATCATTTTATCTTCAGAAGCTAGGGTTTTTCAAAATGTCAGTTGGGACTCATTAGTGAGTAATGAAATGAGATTAATGGGTAATATGCAGTATTTTTTCTTAATGAAATAGGCTAAAATAAAATAAACTTTTGTCAAAGAGAAAAAATGTAGTTATGATAGAAAAATAAAGGCAGCCAATAAAGAATTTGTTTTCAAACAAGTCACTGCTATAAGGAATTGGAATGTAATCCTACAGGGAACTCTGGAAGGCAGCATAGAATTCATTTAGGTTCTGTACCTGACAACTTTCAATCAGTCGTGGGCTATTCCCAGAACCTTTAATTCTCAGGCACTCGTAGCCCACTATGCATTCAGGTAGTTCAGGCCCTGAGGAAAATAGATACAGATACTATTTGTATCTACATATAAATGCAGTAGAAAGGCAAGGCCTGAGGAAGTTACAGTAAGGGCAAGAAGTAGGGAGGAGACTTAACCACAAACTGGCTGTTTTAGGTTTCACTTTATGAATTCAATTTAAATGAGTATGTAAGCGCATTTTGCTGTTTGAAACGGGGAAAAAAAAGTCTTAGTTGAGTGATCTCCGTTTAATTATCTTTCTCTGATAAGAATTGAATCTGAACAATGAGAACACATGGACACAGGAAGGGGAACATCACACACTGGGGCCTGTTGTGGGGTGGGGGGAGGGGGGAGGGATAGCATTAAGAGATATACCTAATGTTAAATGATGAGTTGATGGGTGCGGCACACCAACATGGCACATGTATACATATGTAACAAACCTGTACGTTGTCCACATGTACCCTAGAACTTAAAGTATAATAAAAATATATATATAAAAAAAGGATTAAATCTGGATTTCTTTAACCTTCTCCTCTTGCAATCTGTATTTTTAAATCATTGAATTATTTTCAAGGTATTTAATTATTTTATTCCTTTGTATTGTGCCTTCTGTAAGAGTCCCAGATATTTAAGGCATAAGAATACAAGTATGCTTCATGCATACACATAATATTAGAAGATAACTGCAAATTTCCCTTGTTATCTACAGCAGATTGTTTCTAGGACCTCTGCAAATACCCAAATCTGCAGATGCCCAAGTCCCTTATTTAAGATGAAGTAGTATTTGCATATAACCTACATGCATTCTCGTGTACACTTTAAATCATCTCTAAATTATGTAAATAGTTGCTATACAGTATTTGTTCTTTATTTGTATTATATTTCTCTTTCTCTTCCTTTTGTGTGTGTGTGATGGGGTCTCCTTATGTTGCCCAGACTGGTCTCAAACTCCTGGGTTAAGTGATCATCTCTCAGCCTCCTGAGTTTGCTGGGATTACAGGCAGGTACTCCCATGCCTGGCATATTTTTCATTGTTGTGTTGCACATATATATTTGAAATCTTTTTGATCCATAGTTATTGAATCTGCAGATATGGAACCTGTGAATATATTAGGGCTGACCCCATCAAGGGTCAAGATATAATAAAATTAATAATGTTCACTATTTCTTCAAGGACATTCTTAAGTGAACTTAGCTTTTATTTTCTTTCATACTAGCAGTGTTAAGTAGTGAAGAATGCAGTGTCCACCAGTAAAGTCTGTGCCCAGCCTTGATCTGTGTTGAGGTACAGCACTTTTACCCATGTCAGCTTTTGCTCCATCAGTACAAATATCAACATAGTGAAGGCAAATATATCTTACTATTATTAGGAAAAATATTTGGCCTTGAAGAACTCCAAAAAGTCTTGGGGTGACACTTTGTGGACTATTGGCCCATAATACTGTAGCAGGACGAGCCGCAGACAAAACCTCTCAGACACCGAGTTGTAGACGGTAGGGCTTTATTCAGCTGGGAGCATTGGCAAGCTACTGCCTTAAAATCCGAGCTCCCCAAATGCACAATTTGTGCCCCTTTTAAGGGCTCACAACACTAAAGATTTCACATGAAAGTGTTGTGATTGATTTGAGCAAGCAGGCAGTACGTGACAGGGGCTGCATGCACCGGTGGTCAGAGAGAAACAGAACAGGGCAGGGAGTTTCACAGTGTTCTTCTACACAATGTCTGGAATCTATGAATAACATCAGTTTCTAAGTTATGAGTTGATTTTTAACTACTGGGTTTAGGCCAGGCAGGCCCAGGCCTGTTTTCGGGCCTGACACCGGGCTGCCTGTCTTTGGTTTTACTGCCTTGTTGTTTTTTCTTAAAACAGGTACTGAGTATAAAACAATATAAAACAATATGAGAAGGTCTCTCTCTTCCCTCAATACACAAATTTTCTAAACATATATATGAAGCATTTTATAATAGGAAACAAACGTTATCATTTTAAGAAGATATTAAATGTTTAATTGTAAACTGTCTTTACTTCCCAAATAAGCTCTTTTTGACATACCATTTATCAATTTATCTAAACTAGTCTTTAAAAAGTGTTTATATATTTAACCTATAATTATGTGGGGAGTAACAAGCTCCACACTGTGGGACTTCCTAAATTAAAAAGTAGTTATTTTCTCATATTTTTTACTTTCAAGTTTAAACTGGGATTCGTTAAAAGTTAACATGAAGAACAACATATTATGAATTAGTAAAGAGACTAAAAGCATTATGTAGTTTTAAACATCTCTTGCCTTTTGGAATCATTTCTACACTAAAGAAAACAGATGTTAATGATGATAATATCAAAAAAACAGAAATGGTGATCATCATCATATTAGGCTTGTTTTAAAACAGTAACTGTTTAATTTGAAGATTCCATTTTGTGGTTTATCAAAGTACCACACAAGTTATTTTTATGCTTAGTTACATAATCCTACGTATTGTGGGTCAGTGCTTACGATATCAGCAAAGTTATTTAATATATTTACAATGTCTCACATTATCCACCTATTTATTATTGAATTAGAGTGATTACAGCCACTTCATTTTGTTTTGTTGTTGTTTTGAAATGTGTTCTGATAAAAGGAGGTTCATTTTGATCGTCAACCAGAAAACAAAACATGATAAAATAAAAATAAAACTCAGGAAATTCGACAAATTTCTTGAGAGCCACCTACATAAGGCATTTTGTAAGAAGCTATGAAGTATACAAAGATGTCGCTAAGTAACCTGTAATCTAGTAAAGATAATTACACTGTAGTGTATAAGAGGAACTATGAAACACACCAATAAAATCTTATGAGAGCTCAGAGAAGGGAAAAATTACTTTCAAAGAAGAAAAAATATGTATTTTCCCTTAAATGATAAAATTTGTTCTTATGTTTTTGCTTTCAACCATTCTTTAACCATCAGATTTTTTCAATTCTCTTATCTTCGCATTATTAAACATTTTATACATGCTGTTCAAAGTATTATTATCAAGTACAGTACAGGCTTCTAAAAATATGCTAAAGCCAGATGTAAACAGTTGAAACAGTTGCAATACTGTCTTCTCTATAGGAAATAAATATAGGTAATCAGTGAATAAAGCTAGAATTTTAAACCGTTTACTTGGAATAAACTGTGGCTGAAAGCCCCATGGGCCGCATGAATACAGCAGCCAGGGGTCTTCAGAAGGTCCTGTATGCCAGTTATGCCCCATCACTAACAGGCAGAGTAACTCTCACTGAGCAATGCGAACATAATATTCATGTTTTCCACTTATAATGTTTAATTTGTGTAATACACATACATATGTACGCACAACTGAAAAATTTGGAATTACAGGTAAACTTCATTTTCAAGTAATTTGACCATTCATATACATTCATCTTCTGTACACTTGCAAAGGTAAGTATAAAAACCTAATTTTCTGTGGCAGTTTCATAGGCTACTTTATTGAAAGTGGCTATTATGCCTGTTTCCTATTTTATGCTCATTTCCTAATAAAACCAACAATATATCCAACTACACAGTATTTTAAAGAGAGACTAATTATAATGATTACTATTGTAAGAAAGTGATTCTACATGAATATTTCCATGTTTCTGTAGAGCCTGGGCTTTTTTAGCAAAAGCTGATGAAACTTGGTTAAAGAATGTATATTAGTCCATTTCTCACATTGCTGTATAAACAACTACCTGAGACTGGGTAATTTTAAAGAAAAGAGGTTTAATTCACTCACAGTTCTGCAGGCTGTACAGGAAGCATGGCTGGGGAGGCCTCAGGACACTTACATCATGGAGGGAGGCAAAGGAGAGGCAGGCATGTCTTACGTGACCAGAGAAGGAGGAAGAGGAAACAGGGGGAGGTGTTACACACTTTTAAACAACCAGATCTTGTGAGAACTCACCCACTATCATGAGAACAGCAAGGGAGAAATCCACCCCTATGATCCAATCACCTCCCTCCAGGCACCTCCTCTAACACTGGGGATTACAATTCGACATGAGATTTGGGCAGGGACATAAATCCAAACCATATCAGAATGACTGAATATCAAAATATGTCCTAGAAGCTACAAACGGAGCATTGTTCCAGAGAGATTTACAAATATATCTTCCCCAGAGCCATTCATTTATATTCCAGTGTGATAGAGAGAGAACTTCCCCTCCAATTTCCAGAGAATTGTTTACATTCTAGAGTAGGGTCCTTGTCATTCTTGGGGTAGGATGGGCTGATATGCCACTGTCCTTCGTGGGCTTCAAGTCTCATTCTCCTGTTTAACACCACTACTAGCATTGAGTAATATCAGGCTCTCATCACATCACCTTGTGGTGATCAGGGCGCAGGAGCCAATGCTAAGGTGCTGTGTGAATAATAAATGCTCTGTTCTCTGATTCATAGACTCATGTTTCCTGTCAGGGTATCTGTCTGCCTCTGTGTGTTTTTTTGTTTATGTATCCATACACCTATCCATCTATCTGGTTAGCCAGCAATCCATTCTACCATCCATCCATCCATCCATCTAAACTTACCAACTATGACTTACAGAACTGGTTTAGATTACTCATACATCTTATGAGTTTCTTCTCTTCTTAGCTTTATCAAACAACACTCAAGCTATGACAATTGAAATGGTATTACCATTTCATAAAACAAATATTGCTTTTTAATTTTTACAAATTTTATCTGAGGATTTTAAAAATAATACTTCTCTGAGTATACTAATTGAATTATATTTTTCTTTTCTCATTGCTTATATTGCATTCTCATTCACCAACCTCAGAATTATTATTAAATATTGCAAAGCAAATATTTTAAAAAGTACTTTAAAGGAAATTTTTAAAAATATATATTAATACTTACACTGATCCACTTAGAAGAAATACATATCAATTACACTGATCCACTTAGAAGAAAACCTGTGTACTTAACTTTATTTTCGTAAAATCTGAAATTTAATTTAAAATCGAGAACTATTTTTTTAAATTAAGACAATACTTTGGAAATAATATTTTAAATATATATATATATATATATATAAGAGAACCCACTGTTATCTATGTTACATTAACCTGGAATTTACTATATCAAGGAAATTGTAGAAAAAGAATGCAGTGGAGAGAGAGTTAAAACACTAGTCAAACAGACAAGACAACACCACAAATATAGGATTTTTACTAGAGGTGCTTTTTTCCCCCCTTAGGAAAAGTATGGCTTCTCTTTGGGAAAATTGAGATTGGTCACACTTCAGAGCCTTTGATAAGTACTTTGATGTTCAATAAGAATGAAAAAAACAATGTTGCTTTTGCAAAGAGAATCAAGAAAATAATACCAGTTTCAGCAAAAGAACATTGTTTTGTGTACTTTAACACACACTACAAGGAATGTAAAGAGGCCCTTTTTATTAAACTGGGGAAAACATTTTTTGCTTAAAAACAAATAGGACACCAGTAGAAAAAAAAATTAAACTAAAACAAAACAGCATGCTTATTGCTTTGTGTGTAATAGGTAGCAAATATTTTTTTAATTGAATAGAAGGAGTGCAACAAATAAAAAGCTACATAGAGGATACCATTTTACTGGAAGGCCAAATCGTGTCCTTCTAGTAAAAATGTATAGTTAACAGAGAGTGCAATTTGATGTGTGAATAAATGAATTATTTTGCAAGAAGAGATATTTTGCTAAATTTGAACAATGACATCCAAGAAATGAGATTTCTTTGTTGTTCTGCTGGGTTTTTCTTTTAATGTAATTTTGACAATTTTGATTAAATGTCCAAATTCATAATGTGATAAATTATTGTGGATGCAAAAATGTTAGTAAAATATTTTTAAGAGTTTTAATGAACCTGGTAGATTTAGACAGTAATAGAGTTCTGTGACTCCCCAAAATGAGGGGACTTGCCTCTTGATATCAGGGAGGAAATCATGGGGCAAAGCTCATAGAAATGACAGCTGTAGCTAAGAGCACCTTTCTCCTCTAAAGCTGACTGCAGAACAAAAGGTTAAATGTAGTTGTCAAGTTTATAGACAGGGAAATACTTGTAGTAAAGTGAAAGTAAACAAGCATTTAAAAAGCTTCAAAGAGAGTCAAATCCACAATTCGGGGTGATTTGGATGAATTTCTCTAATATGCTAATCTGCATGGACTAAGTCCATGGGTTAGAGGAAAGATAAGCTGAATTTAGGGTGAAGGGGATAGGAACCTCTGGACAAAGGGACAACTTTGGCTGATGATGCTTAGGGTAGAGTAAGGATAGTTTTAGGAGGTTCTTTCAATATTGAGAGAGGTTTAATTGAAGAATATGCAAACCAAACTAGTGAGATTATGAAAAAGAGTTCCTAGAAATAGCACAATTGTTTGGGTAGGGAAATATTGGACAGAAAAAGAATATGGAAACAATGCAAGAATCGTTGGAATTTAGAGTGCAAATAAAAAGAATAATCTGAGGACCAAGTAAAGGCTGGTTAAACCAAGTCAATGGAACAGGAGCAGCCAGCATAATTTCTTATTAAATAGTTTGGATGGTGTATCAGGCCTTTATTGCCTCTTGCCTGGATTATTTTAACAATTTTCCCATGAAGTTGTCTGCCTTGGACATAATACATCTCTGATCTATATCCATTAGACTACTTCCAGAGTCAAAAGTCTATAAATCACAAGTTAACGATCTATGTGATTCAATGGCCAAATCCTCACGCTTCCCCATCTGAAATTAATTCCCATAGGACTCTACTTGGATTTCTATTTCCATAACTAAATTACCTCAACATACACTTGTTACCTGATTATATACATGTCTGCAGCATGAAGTTGGAAACTTTGTTAACGTTACGATTTTTCTTTTCAATGTTTTTTTCTTTTTCTTAGTTTGCCAAACTAAAGCACAGCAGAACAACAACAAAATGTTCTTTCCCTGAAACAGAGAGAGCCCAGGCTAAGCCAGAGATAACAAGGAGTTGAGACTACCAAAAGAATGCTGACTTCTAAAGGTTGGGCTAAGAGAAGAGCTTTTATGTTTAGGTAGAAACAGGATGCTGATTTTAAAAAAACTTCTTCATTCATTAAACATTTTCCAGATGTGAGATTGCTCATTTCATTCGTCTCAGAAGCTTATTAAATTCCCCTACACTATGTTGGAAATTGATTTTCACTTCTGGAATACAGTGATCTGGAGGCAGAGATGTGACATGGGAGAGGAAGGGAAGGTGGAAGAAAATTAGATATTTTCCTAAAGTGCTATTAGCAAGAAAAGGTAACCAAAGAATGAGATTAAACAAAGCCTTTCTGGAGAAGATGACTTGTGTTGGTGGTAGGGGTATTGAGATGAAAGAAAGATAGGAATACCTTCAGCAGACTGATAATTGTATACACTTTGAAGTGTATTTTAAAAATAGCTGTTCCACGTTTAATAGATGGGGATTATTTACTGTTATTAAAAATAATATAGAGAAGCAGATTAATTGATGCATTTATGTTTATTGAGTTGATAGAACCAATATTATGGAAACAAACTGGCAAAACTTTTCTTCCCTTTTGGGCGTTCTTGTTCTTTCTTGCATTCTTTTGTGATTGTTTCCAAACCAATGACTTCTTGGTAACTATAATAAAGGTTTATATTTTACTTGATAAAATGTAAATTTAAATAGTGTTTTTTAGAAATAACCTACTGTGGGGCCAGGCGCGGTGGCTCACGCCTGTAATCCCAACACTTTGGGAAGCCGAGGTGGGCAGATTACGAGGTTAGGAGTTTAAGACCAGCCTGGCCAACATGATGAAAGCCCGTCTCTACTAAAAATACAAAAATTAGCTGGGCATGGTGGTGTGTGCCTGTAATCCCAGCTACTTGGGAGGCTGGGGCAGGAGAATTGCTTGAATGGGGACCCGGGAGGTGGATGTTGCAGTGAGCCGAGATAGCGCCACTACACTCCAGCCTGGGCTACAGAGCGAGACTCCGTCTCAGAAAGAAAAAAATAAAAAAAAAAAAAATAAGAGGAAAAGGAAAAAAAGAAATAACCTATTGTGGTATTGTGGTATTTTTCAGACTCAGAATTTCAGTCCAGGAAAGGGAATAATACTAATGAGTGACATTAAATGCTCTTTTTTAATCTGGAAAATAAGCAGCAAATGGCTTTAGCTTCTAAATTTTCTCGTCATTTTTTTTTTCCTTTCTTACCAGTTTGACCTAAACAATCTTAGAATGTATAGTAGCTCACAGCTCTTCACAGCTTTGTTTATTTTTAAATTTTTTTTAGTAATCCCTCTTTGAACTGACTTTTACCTTTCATTGTCTATGATTCTTCCCAGACTCCTCCATGCAGGGATCTTGATGCAGATTCTTCCATCAGTACCTCCAGATATTAACCTGAGAATGGAAAATATTTTGCAAATAATAATTTTAATTCTCCCTCCTCTCAAAAGGAACATAGTTTACCCGAAATATAACTTAAATTTAATGATAATAATTAACTTTCCAAATTGCCAATAATTCCATTCCAAATATTTCATAACTTATTATTAACCCAAACCATTTTCTCTATACTCTTATTTCCCTAAAGTGTACACAATAATCAGCATTCACAAGGAAAGGGGTAAACTGTTTGACTTTACTACCACTTTTAATTCTAGCTGCATTTTTAATTTTTTCGAGATAGTTTTACAAACACAAATACATACCTATTGTATTAATTTCTTTCTGATTTTTTTTTTTAAAAACTTTTATTACCAGAGGCCTGTTCATATTAGACATCAGGTCTGTGAAGTAGATATCAATTCAACATAGGGATCTATGTACTGCCAATGAATAATTGATCCATGAAGAGGCAAAATCTTCCTAAATTTCACAGCTTACTATCAGAGAAAATAATGTAAATAGCCATAATAACAAAAATGGACTTTCTACCCTCAGTGCTCCTATGATTGGAGGGAATTCAGTTGCTCTGCATACCCCCTTTCCTTCCTTTAGAAAGAAGATCTGGCCGGAAGTGATGGTTCAGTGTCGAGTCCTTTGACAAAGACCATCTTAACTTATTTTTATTGTTTCACCTAAGCTGTGTTTTGTGGTTTCGAAAGTGTCTAGCATGACCTGTGAATCTATTACAGTTCAAAATCAATTCTATTCCTGTTTCCATAGTTCACATTCATTTCCGTGAGTATTAGGGTCTTCATAAAACAGCAGTTTTTTCTGAGTGTTGATCCTAGCTGATTGAACGTCTTCAAGAACAAGCCACTGATCCTTGTTACACAAATTGTAAACTCAGTCGAAGTGAGCTTCGGCTGCAGGTTCAACACTGCTTACTTAATGAAAGCAAGGAAAAGTCTCTTTTTTCCACATGTTAGTAAAGGGTTTCAACAGGCTAAAAAAAATATTGAATAACTCTACATAATGGAGAAAGGCAGTAATAAGAAAGGAAAAACAGAAAAATAGAATAAGTAGTCTGTGAATCCTTTGGAGAATTTACTGAAAACTAGAATTTCTTACAATGTACACAAAATGGCTGTCACCAATGCAATAAGACTTTTTCCAAAAATTGTTCTCACAACTCTAAGCAACTGAAGTGTTGCTTCCTTCATCACATCATGTAATGAAGTCAACAGAGTATAAAATATTCCTTGTGAAGGAAAACTTGATATCACTATAACTTTAAGAAATATTTTGAGGGTGGGTGTAAGTTTGTATCTGAAATAAATAAGTGGTTACTAAGCTACAAACAGATTTTTAGCCAACAGCCACACTATCTAAAATGTTCAACTCTCCTCCATACATAGACACCTCCTCTCCCCTTCTCTGCTTTATTTTCTTTTACTTTTACATACTAAATATTTTATCTAGCAGTAAGTGTATATAATACATTATATATTTATCATGTTGGTTTCCTGAATCTCACATCAGACTGCAAGCTCCTTGAAGGCAAATATGTATTCCTTTAGGTTCACTGTTGTTTCCTCACCTCCTAAAATAGGACCTGGCATATAATTGTGCTCAATCATTTTTTCAAGAATTAATGAATGAGGCAGGGTGCGGTGGCTCACACCTGTAATCCCAACACTTTGGGAGGCCAAAGCAGGTGGATCACTTGAGGCTAAGAGTTCCAGACCAGCTTAGCCAACATGGCGAAACCCTGTCTCTGTTAAAATTACAAAAATTAGCCAGGCATGGTCAGCATGCCTGTAGACCCAGCTACTCAGGAGGCTGAGACACGAGAATTGCTTGAACCCGAGAGGTAGAGGTTGCAGTGGCTGAGCCAAGACAGAGCCACTGCACTCCAGCCTTGGTGACAGAGCAAGACCTTGTCTCAAAAAATAATAATAATAATAATAATAAATAAAAAAGAAGAAGAATTAATGAATGAAACTGGAGAGTCTGCTGCAAAGAGAATCCTGAGGTTTTATACTTCTCTTCCAAAGAATAAAAGCTGTCTATCAATTCTAGAATAAAGCACTAGCTTTTGAAATGAGTAAAGGGATCAAGAAAATCTAGTGCTACCTACTGGCAGCTTTCCCAATGGTGGGAGTAGCAGTTTTAAAGATTCAATAAACAATCTCCTTGACATAAAATTCAACAATGGCAAAGTTAAGTGCAGGAAGAGGGCATGAGACCTATTCCCCTTATGAGGAAGAGAATTTATTATTAAAATTATGTACAATTATTGTGGTGTAATGATAATGATAAAATTGATGGGCTTTGCTTTATTAATTGTTTATACATATTGTGCAGGGTGTATATATGCTTACTGCCTTGTGTAGGTGGGGTGGGACACAGCTCTCCACTGATACCTCTTCTTCTGGCTCCCCTGATATTCCACTAGAAGGGGGTAATGAGAGATTTTGATACAACAAGCATTATCAGTTTTATCTTGTTTGTTTATTCCACAGATATTTACTAGACATGCAAAGCAATACTATTTAGTAGATGCAAAAATAGATAAGTAAAGACCTATAAGTTTTTGGTTTCCAAAGTCAAATGTTTTTATGGTTTATTAATATTGAGAACACTGAGCCGGGCACAGTGGCTCACTCCTGTAATCCCAGCACTTTGGGAGGTGGAGGCAGGCAGATCACTTGAGGTCAGGAGTTTGAGGCCAGCTTGGCCAACATGGTAAAACTCTGTCTCTACTAAAAACAAACACACACACAAAAAGTTAACCAGGTTTGGTGGCGCACTCCTGTAGTCCCAGCTACTTGGGAGGCTGAGGCAGGAGAATCGCTTGAACCCGGGAGATGGAGGTTGCAGTGAACTAAGATTGTGCCACTGCACTCCAGCCTGGGCGCAGAACGAGACTCCATCTCAAAAATAAAATAAAATAAAATAAAATTGAGAACACAGAAAGATGAGCAGGTTTGTGTGGAAAATCCTTAAATCTGTTTGACAAATTGAGTTGAAAGTGTTGAATTCCCCAGATTACAAAAGAACAACCTGTTAATAAAGCAATGCTAAATGTATTGGAACCTAATTGCATTCAGAAACTACTGGAAAGAGTTTTATTGTCTCAAAAAGGGAAAGTCAGAAATGAGATTTTATTAAATTTTGGGGTCTGGGATCCAGGAGTTTAAGGTGGATTTTTCAAGGCAGACTTTTTCAGGTGAGCAGACTGTTGTCTCTAAATTGATCTGCAAGAATTTCCTGAAGCAAACAGTAGAGTTATTTATAGGATTACAGTCTTATCTTTTCTGTGTATAGGTTTACTGGAACAAACAAGACAACTGTGGTCCCAGTTCTCAGAGGTAGCTTTTGAGACCTCCACATGCACATGTTGAATAAACAATTGGAACTCAGAGGGTTAGTATAAAATTTAGGAGTAATCACTATATAGATTATCATAAAGATCTGGAGATGGTTCTGTTCAAGATTGCCAAGGGATGGAACTGAATTCCTGTACGGCTGCTCCCCACTTGAAAAGCCAGACACAAGAATCAAGAGTTGGTGGGAAGAAAGAGGTTTATTGAAGTGCTAGCAGCTGAAGAGACAGCTGGAGTCAGGTCTCAAAAAGCCATCTCAAATTCTCAGGCTGGCTAATGGGGTTTGAAGAGGAAGGCGGCATGGAAACTATGTGCAGGAGTGATGTAGGTTGCAGGTCTGCTTGTCATTTTCCAGTGGCTGTCTTGAATAATGAACCATCTGGAGGCCTTGGTGTCAACTTGCTTAGGTCAGGGTATGGATTAACTGTGCACCAATTTCTTCTCAGAAGGGAGAAAACTTTAACTGCCATCTCCACTTTACGCCTGAGTTGCTTTAAGATTAGCCTTTGGAATTCTCAAGCAAACACGTAGTTAGATATATGTATAGCAAGAAAAAAAATGAGGCAGGGATTACTTTTTAAAGCAAGCTAGCAAATTGGCTGTACTGGTTACTGGGAGAGAGCATCAATGAGAAAAGAAATAGATTAGCACAGAGTATTGAGAAACCTCAACATTTAACAGGTTATTGTTGGCAGACGAGCATTCAGTGGAGATTGTAAAGTGGTTAGAAATGTATGAGGATGAACAGGAGAGGGTAAGGAGGGTACTTCAAGAAGCAAAGAGTGATCAACAAGGCCAAATGATGCTTTGTGTTAAAATCATATGAGGACTTTGAAATATTCATTTAGTAACTTCAAGGTCATTATTAATCTTAGCGTGAGCGGTTTTGGTGATGTTATTGAGGCAAAAAACAGAGAAGGTTGAAAAGTAGTGAATGGATAAAAAATGAAGGTAGTTCAATAATTTGGGATGAGAAAGAGAAGAAAAAGATAAATTCATAATGTAGAAATGTGAGAAGTAAAATTTTTAGGCAGGAGAGATTTGAATATATGTATATTCTCTGCTTCCATTATCACTCCATAATTTTATAAGAAAAAGGTAAATACACCCTTTCATCCTCTGTGATTTCTTCCTTCCTTCCTTGTGTCTATTGATTCTTTCATTTACTATAATCAGCAAACAGCAGGCACAGACCATGGCCCTAAGGAACTTACAGAAGTTAACTCATAGAAGGCCAATATGTTGGGAAAAATGTGAATAAGTATATAAATATCCTATCATTGCATAATTAGTATGAATGCAGATTAAGTTTGAGTTTTTCTGTAATACTCCAAGGCGAAGAGTTACGCTGCCTTCTAATGCAAGTATTTGGCTGAAAATTGGATTGTGTTTTGAAGTCTCTGTACTAAATTTCCTCCAGACATAGCTGGCATATACAGGGACAAAAACTTTTGACCTGGAGCTCATTAGTGCAATGAAGCATTCAAGTGAACTAGCAGGTACAAGCCTGAAACAAACAAACAAAAGAAAAACATCAATTGTTTGATTAATTGTAAATGCGGAAGTTGAGGGTAGGGAAGTAAAATTTCAACCCATCAAGGAAGTAGTCACTTTAAAATTCACCTGAAATGACTATTTCAAAACCTGCTTCCATTTCAATGCTAAAAATATTTCTTTTCCCCAAACCCCTTAAACGGAAGGAGTTATAAGTGAACTAGAATACACATAGGAAGTCATGCTGCATTCTCATGTTGCTAATTGGAATTTTGATGAATATAATATAAAAGCAAAACAAGAGCAAAGTGTTTCCATTAGTTCACTACCCATGTTTCTGCACCTTAATCAGAGCGTTGTTAATATTTAAATATGCGTTTGAAGCCCCAAGTGTATAGGGAGGCATGGAAGTTTCATTAATAACTATAATTTATATAAAAGAATATATGCCAAAGACAAATGCTCAAATATGGAGTTTCATAGGAATTTTTCAAACGTATTTTATAGCTCAGACATGGAAAAAGAAATTGCAGCAGGATATGAACTTATGCTTAGCTACTAAGATACACTATGGCTTATCATTTATTGAGAAAAGTCCAGATTTTTGTCTTAAAGTTATATTTCTCCATCAGTTATATACCACTTTTTTTTTTCACATAAGGCTGTTTGGAAACAGGCAAATAGGAAAAAAATCTGCAGGAAAAAGGGACATTGACATAATCTGAAATGCCTTGTATTCTGCAGATTTCAGAACTATACAGCTTTCAAAAGGGACATAAGGGAGCAGAGAGAACTGCCACTCTAGAGCTGTGACTCTTTTCTCCTTCAGTAGTCATGCTTTCAAATGGGTCCTTCTGCAGAGGAATGACTTGAAGTAACAATCACCATTCCCTCTTCACAGCAGTCTGCCACAGAACAAAACTTCCTGGAATAATGCCAGTTGAAATGACTAAGTGTGTCTTTTCTATACATCCACAAGGATACTTACCTAGTGCCTTCTGGGTTCTAAAGGAGAGGATATAGTTCATTGTTAACAACAGCTCTAAGTCTCTCTTACTATGTGAAACTTACTCTTTTATTAACCAGAGGAAAGGAATCAGAGACTTCCAACACATTACAATTATATTCAAACATACTTCCATTCTTAGGATGAGCTCTGACTCAAATATTGTTTTATGCTAAGTACTAGTATGGAGTATGCCTTCAACATTAAATTCACTGTGAAGAAACATTTTTAAAGTAATATGATAATCAGTTATGAGATGCCACTAGATATCCTCAAAGCTATTATGCAAAGAGCGAGAGGAAACTTTAAAGCAAAAACAGATTAAGTTCTTGCAGTTTTCATAAGGGGGTTGGTTTAGAATTCCTACAGTCAAATAAGCTGTGACTGTAATGGTTCTTTGAGTTGATGCACAGATTGTGCAAAATCAGCCCTACACATAAGCAGCTAGCATGTGTAAAAAGTCTACCTGACTCAAAATATGAGTCCCACTAGGCTATCACACAGTATTATATCTTGGAACTATTGTATAAGAATGAAGACATTGGCCAGGCACAATGGCTCACGCCTGTAATCCCAGCAATTTGGGAGGCCAAGGCGGGCGGATCACCTGAGGTCAGAAGTTCAAGACAAGCCTGGCCAACATAGTGAAACCCCATCCCTACTAAAAATACAAAAATTAGCCAGGCATGATGGCATGTGCCTGTAGTCCCAGCTACTCAGGAGGCTGAGGCAGGATAATTGCTAGAACCTGGGAGGTGGAGGTTGCAGTGAGCCAAGATCGTACACCGCATTCCAGCCTGGGTGACATCGTGAGAGTCTGTCTCAAAAAAAAAAAAAAAAAAAAAAAAAAGAAGAAGAAGAAGAATGAAAAAAACACATTCTTCCAATGTCCTACAAGACCCAACATCATAAGTACTCTCTGCTCCCTTTCACAATGAATTTCCTACACATTGTATTCCATTCCTGGATCACTCTACTGCAGGTAGAAGCTACTTTGCTGTTCACTGGAACATTCTCTTTACAATTTCATCTAAAGACCTTTGCCTGAAATGTTCTCCCAGGCAAAATAGCCTGGCTAACTCTGTTAGCTCTTTCGTTGTTTCCTTGAAGTTTATCTTATTAATAAGCCTGCCCCGATTGTATTATTGAATAGTACAACTACCCCTCTCCTCCTTTATTTTTTCTTTTCCTTTCATGCAATTTTATTGAGATATAATTGCCAAATAATTTTTATAAGTTTAAGATGTACAACACGATGATTTCACACACACACACACACACTACATCACACATAGATATATATTGTGATATGATTACCACAATCAAGTTAGTTAACACATCTATCATCTCACCTATTTGCCATTTTTTGTTTTTTTGGTTTTATGACAGGATATTTAATATAATATCTACTCCCTTACCAGATTTCAAGTCTATAGGAGTGTTATTAACAATAGTCACTGTATTAGTCTGTTTTCTTGCTGCTATAAAAAACTTCCTGAGACTGGGTAATTTATAAAGAAAAGAGGTTTAATTGACTCACCGTTTTGCCTGGCTGGGGAGGCCTCAGGAAACTTACAATGATGGCAGAAGGGGAAGCAGGAGTGTCTTACATGGTGGCATGTAAGAGAGAGCATGTAAGTATGCAGGAAAAACTACCATTTACAAAACCATCAGATCTTTTGAGAATTCACTCACCATCACAAGAACAGCATGAGGGGAAACTGCCCCCATAATCCATAATCCAATCACTTTTCTCCCTCCACACATGTGGATTACAGGTCCCTCGCTTCACACATGGGGATGAGATTTGGGTGGAGACACAAAGCAATATCATAAGCTATGGGGATCTAATGTACAGCATTATATATAAACACATTTTATAATGGAAAGTTTATATGCTTCGACCAGCATCTCCCCATTTCCCTACCCACTGTCCCCTGGCAACCACCATTCTATTCTGTTTCTAGGAGTGTCCCCCTCCTAATTCTTCTTTAATCTGAGTTAATATTTTTTGTAGCACTTATCACAATCTAACATAAAATAAAATTTCCATGTTTATTATGTTTATTATTGTTTGTCTCATTTCCTGCATGAGACACCACCTCCACCATGTAATCTCTCTTCGTAGGAATCTTTGTCTTCTTTGTTCACTGTTGAATCCCAAGTGGTGAAAACTCTGCCTGACACATTGTAGGCACTTAATAAATATTTATGGAATGAATGAATTAATGAAAACTATGAACTATCTTTTTATCTCATTACCCTGAAATGCACTAGTTACATACTCTCCTATACTAAGTGTTAAAAAGAATTGATTTATTATAGTAACTTAATTTCCTATTAACAGAGTTCCTACTTTAGGTTCAGGCACTGACACCAGGAGGTCCTTAAAGTAATGCATTTTGATAAGTGAAATAACCCATTGACATACCCACTAGTAACTACTTGCATATTGAATTTATCAAATTACCTAATTTGTATTAAAGAGAGCAAGGATCTGAGATAATCAAACTAAGAATGTAGTTTTTGATGAGGAGACTTGAGAAAAAGTTTGCTGCTGGAGTGTGGTGGAGGCATACCTGGGTGATTCCAGGGCACATCCAAAAGGAAGGAGAGAGGGCTAGGTGTTGACTTTGGTTTTGGAAGCTGGAAAGAACATAGTTGGGGAAAATAATCTCAAAAAGGGGAGGTGGAACAGAAAGAAAAAGCCATTCCCTTTTTACAGTTGTAGTAGGTCCAGCCTGGCTTGTTGCATTTCAACAAGGCAAGAAAAAAAAGAAAGAAAGAGAAAGAAAGAAAAGAACGAAAGAACGAAAGAAAGAAAGAAAGAAAGAAAGAAAGAAAGAAAGAAAGAAAGAAAGAAGGAAGGAAGGAAGGAAGGAAAAGAAAAAGAAAGAAAGAAAGAATAGAAAAGGAAGGAAGGAAGGAGAAGAAAAGAATGAAAGAAGAAAGAAAAAAGCCTTTTGTTGTCATCAGTGTATTAGGAAATGGGAAACACACATATCAACCACAGGGAAAAAGAATTACCCAAACAGGAGGTTCATTTTACCCTGCTCCTTTCAGTGAAAGAAGAGAGAATTAAAAAGGAGGATTAAGTAGGCATGTGCTTAGAGCTCTGATGGAAAAAGCATTTAAAGGCAGAATTCACATTCCTTAAAAGGACAAATACACGGCTTTTTTCTCCCAAATTATCCATCAAGGTGATTTTGGTCACATGTGATTCATTAGTTTAGAGAACCAAGTTACTTGGCTGTATTTCAGATTTGAAAGGAGAGCAACAGTGGGCTGTGTTAAATACATATATGTATTTGCACCATTTCTATCCTGATGACAGGTGGCACCATTCCAAGAGCCAATGTTTCCTTTCAAACTATTTCTGAGTACATTTAATGATTTAAATATGTTCTTAATCAATTTATTTTTTCCTCCCAAGGTATCAGAAGTCCTGACTCAATTCTTCATATTAACATATGCATTCCTTACTAAGAAACCAGACCATAACTAAGAAGGGATTTAGGTATGAGAAGTCTAAAGCTCATTACCTTAATTTCCTTTTTTATAGGTTAAGCATTGCAGGATCATTTTTGAGATTCTAATTTTTGATGTAATATTTTTTAATTACCGAATGTGGGCTTTTTATATCTGAGGTGATTTTTTTCTTTTAAATCAATGTGTCCATTAAAGAATGTATTATTGCACACCAGATGGAATTAAATGAACCATTGTGTGAACTTGGCATTTTCAGATCGGGTTACCTGAATGTAATTACCTGCAGGCAGTTTCCAAATCTGCTGTTCATAAGGGATTAGCTTGCGTATAGAGATTCTCTTCCATTCTCCTCAGGTTTTTTTTTTTTCCTTGAAATGCTTTTAGTCATTTTGGCTTATTGTACCATCATGCTCTGCCACTGATAATAGTGAAAATTAATCCTGAACTACCAGAATTGATGATACAGAACAAGTCGACAGCTGTTTAAAAAACAAACAGACAAGGGACAGCTTATAGAAGAGAACGTTATGATTTTGTGCCACATAAAATTTGAATTGTCTGCCACAATTCTAATAATACTGAAATTTGGAGAAATTTCTCTATCTATTAAATAGAGTTTCTTTCAGAAATTTATCCCCAAACTGCAATGCTGCATTTAATTTCCTGTTGTTATTTTAAAATCACATCAGTTGAAGAATATGAATGTCTACACATTTTGAATCACATTCCAATTTATTTTCTTTGCGAGTGAGCAGAATTATATTTCCTGTGAGTCATCTCTTCATATAGGGAGTATACCCTCTGGGTGGCATTTATTGCTGGTGTGTCAATCACCTTCTTATTTTATCTCTTTAAGTAGTGAAGAGAGGTTATGTGTCTGTTTCCTGCATTGATGTTAAGTGCACAATTTTCTCTCACTAAATAAATATATATTTAAACAATTGGAAGAATGGGATTTCAAAATTCCATTTTAAATTCTCAGCAGTAAATCAGTTTTATCTTTCCCTTTAAAAGTGAAATATATATATATATATATATATATATATATATATATTACTACTTTCTTCAAGCAGTTGGTGAAGAGCATCTAACCTGAGACTGGGAAACATCAAGTTAATAGAAACAATATAATTTATAATTTTACATGATTTCATATATTATTTTTCTGTTAGCCTTGTAAACTTTCCAATGACTCAAGTGATTTAAATGATGTGTGAATTTTTTTAGTAAGGAGTTGAATAATTAGCTTTCAGAGAATTTAACTAGTATCATTCTAAAATACATGATGACCTGGAAAAATATAATAATAATGAACATAACCTTACAGAAATGAATTATGGAATAATGATAGATAATCAAATATATGCCACCAGTTTGTGAATTAATGTTAGATTATGTTGAAAATAGGTCACTTCCAAAGAAGCCATTGTTTTCATTGTTATTAATGTAGACTTGAAATTGATATTATATAGTTAGTTTCTAACTTGCAAGCCACAAGATAAAGATTTAGGCTACTTAAAGCAAAAAGTAATTTGCTGAATGTATGCTGGACTCATTAAGAGGAGTCTCAAGAATTAAACCTCGAAAGCCAAAGGGAGCATAACTGCTCTGGAAGACTAGGAAGCAGGGATGGCAGGAATGATCACATAGTATCTTTTTTTAAAAAAAACAGCTTTATTGAGATATAATTCAAGAGCATACCACTCATCCATTTAAAGTATGTTTCAACCATTCCTTCTATCCTTGTGTTTCTCATTCAAGAGTCCACATCTTAGAGAAGCATCTGTTGTCCAGGCTTATGCCATATCTCCTCCTTCTGCTGGTGTCAGAGCTGGTGAGGGGCAAGGCATGGCTGGAGTCACAGCATGAGATGAGATATCCACAGGCAGCCACCTGGATTTACTATTCTGACAAGCAAGATATAAAAAATTAGGCAAAATTTATTTTTAGTAATATGCTGATAAATATGTTGAACAACTCGTTCTCTCCCACCCCCAAAAAACCCTGTTTGTTTTGTTTTGGATTTACAGATTTCCATCATGTAAATACTCCAATCGTAATAGTAATTTTAAGCTACCAGTGTGACAGTATGTGGAGTTGGGTAGGGATGCTAATCATTGGTTCTTGTGAGCTGGAACAAGCTGATTACAGCACACTACTTAGTATCTCCCCAAAAGAACATGGGTACTTTCAGGAAGGGGAAAATGAATGCTAGCCATTCAAAATGTACACACACACATGTAATGAGCAAAGATCTTATTGACCTTAAACACAGAGCCATTCAATATGTTGTTTTTCATAAATTAGTGACTCAGTAGATAAGAATTTGGGTGCAGAGATGTTAGAGACTACTCTTACGTTTTATTTCATAAGAAAATAGAGGCTACTGTCCCTTGTCAATTTCTTAATTTAGCTCAGGAACTCAAATGGACACATTAAAAATATTAATAGTAAAATTGTAAACTGTTTTGGTAGGGAGAATTCTAAGATGACCTCCATGACACTCACCTTTGTTTTTTTTCCCCCATTAATATGTTATATTCATGGCAAAAGGGATTTTACAGATGCAATTAAGGTTACTAATTAGGTGACTTTAAAATAGGAAGATCACACAGGTGGGCTTGACCTACCATATGGGTCTTTTAAAAGCAGAGAATTTTCTCTGACTAGTAGAGGAGGAAATCAGAGAGACTCGAAGCATTAGAAAGACTCAGTGCAAAAGAGGCATGCATTGCATGTGGGAAGGACCTGAGAGCAGCCTCCAGGAAAGGCGCTAGGAGAGCCAGACCAACTACTGACTGAAATTCATCAAGGAAAACATGGCCTCAGTCCTACAACTGAAAATAACAGAATTTTGCCAACCGTTAGAATAAGTTTGGAAGTGGATTATTTCTTAGAATACCAGATAAGAGTCCAGCCTACCCAATACCTTAATTTCAGTTTTGTGAGTCCCTAAGCAAACCATCCAGGCTGCCCAGACTTTTGACCTATAGAACTGTGAGATAACAAATCGGTATTGTTATAAGCTGCTAAGTGTGTGGCAATTTGTTATACAGCAATAAAAATCTAATATAACTATCTATAAGGAGGTGCCTTAAATAAACTTTGGCACTACAAGCATCTGAACAAACAAAAGGATCTGTATGGAATAAAGCGAAAGAAAGGCTTTTAAAGAACATTAAGTCTTAAATCAATTGTTAGAAGAAGACAATTGGAGTAAGGAACATGAAGTAAGTGGAGGATAAGGGGTGGACAGGTAATCATGTCAGCGATGATTATTGGCATAAAAAAGAAACCTTACTAACGGAAATATAAGAAGACAGGCAAGATTGCATTAGAGAGTCATAAAAGATAAGGTCAAAGAGCTGAGGTTGGTAAATTGATGAAGATCTAAAATTCTGTGTCAATAAGTGATTCTCAACACTTTGAGGAATTTTAACCCATGAGGACATTTTAGAAAATGAACACCAGAATAGCACTTCAGAAAAACTGAATCAGAAATTCTGGCATATGTGACAGCATCTACATTTTTTTAAACTTCTGTAAGTGATTTTTGAGGTGCAGCCAAGGTTGAGGTCCACTAGTGGGAATTCTGGAATTCACAGATATCTAAGGACTATCTATGGACTAAAGCTATGCTAGAAGGTACAGCCTCTCTCCCTCCCTCCCTTTCTTTATTTCTTCTTTCTCAATGTAAGAGGAAGACATGAGTCAACCATAGCTGAATTATAATATTGCTGGGTTTTTTTACAGCAAAAAAATGAAGAATATTATAAAAGTCAAACAATAGAAGGTGCCAAACATGATTCCTATTGTAATGGAAATTTATGCCATATTATTTCATTAATATAGTTTTTAATCTCATGCAAACTGTTTAAATGTATATATCTGTGATATTTTAATAATGTCCCAAGTTTGATTTCCCTAGAAGCAGACTCTGAGATATATATTAATATATAAGATATTTATTAGAATGTTCTCTTGATATCCACATGGAAGGAAGGAAAGATGATTTTGCAGAAAGAGCTGTGGAGCACTCCAAAGATAGATGTCACCCTTCATAGTTGCCCCAAATTGGGCAAGCTGATGTGGCCTTATATTCCTACTGTGATCTATAATTGAAGGTAAACTCTCCTTGAAAAAAGCAGTTTTCCTCACCTGAAGCCATCCACAATGGAGAATGTCCACTGAGAGCCATCGTCACACGGAATTCTTGGCAGCTGGGAGAATAAGATTTTTAATCCTGAGAAGGGGTGGTCAGGACTGCACATCACAGAGCCCACTACAAATGTCTACTTCTAGCTGGTAAACATACAGGATGCATTTGCTTTTAAATGTATTTCCCTAATTATAAAAAAAAGCCTGATATCTACAAATTTGTTCAAAATATTTTACCAAGGATCCTATTTTCAAAATATGTTTGAAACTAGTTAGCAACTAGTTATACAGGTGATGGTATAATTTAATGAGATAAGAAATATGGAAAGAAGGATATTTTTAGGGAAGAGGATGTGTACAATCGTTGATAAGTAGAGTTTGATGTATTTGCATAAAAACAAAACAAATTTTAAAAATACACGATTTCATGATTTCATGTGTCATTTTAGATTCAGCCCTATTTTTGAAAAGATTGCCAATAGTTGAAACTTTTTAAACCTAATATATTCTTACCTCACACAGTTGTCAGTTTTTTTTTCTTTGAAATACTTTTTTTATTCACTTCTGGGATATTATATTCTCTAGGTTTTCATTTTCCTCATTCTAAATATCTTTCAGATGGAAGTGACAGATTCTTTCTATGCTTTTAGATATCAGAAATTTCACATTTGTGATTAACTCAGTTCTACAATTGACATCTTTACCCTCCTCCCAAACAATACAGGGACCTAGAATATTTTAATTCCAATTAAAGCGTTGTTACTTATAATTTCTATTCAGTGATTTATTTTAATTTTTACTTAAATATTATTTTTATATAATCAATACTTTCTTTAGATTTATCCATAAGTTTAATATTTTTAATTAAACAATCTTTCTTCCTGCATTTTCTGGGATATTTTTTCTTATTTCTTTTTTTTTCTTTTTTTTATTATTATACATTAAGTTCTAGGGTACAAGTGCACAACATGCAGGTTTGTTACATATGTACACATGTGCCATGTTGGTGTGCTGCACTCATTAACCTATCATTTACATTAGGTTTATCTCCTAATGCTATCCCTCCCCGCTTCCCCCACCCAACAACAGGCCCCAGTGTGTGATGTTCCCCTTCCTGTGTCCAACTGTTCTCATTGTTGAATTCCCACCTATGAGTGAGAACATGTGGTGTTTGGTTTTCTGTCCTTGCAATAGTTTGCTGAGAATGATGGTTTCCAGCTTCATCCATGTCCTTACAAAGGACATGAACTCATCATTTTTTATGGCTGCATAGTATTCCATGGTGTATATGTGCCACATTTTCTTAATCCAGTCTATCATTGATGGACATTTGGATTGGTTCCAAGTCTTTGGTATTGTGAACAGTGCCGCAATAGACATACATGTGCATGTGTGTTTATAGCAGCATGATTTATAATCCTTTGGGTATATACCCAGTAATGGGATGGCTGGGTCAAATGGTAATTCTAGTTCTAGATCCCTGAGGAATCGCCACATTGTCTTCCACAATGGTTGAACTAGTTTAGAGTCCCACTAACAGTGAAAAGTGTTCCTATTTCTCCACATCCTCTCCAGTACCTGTTGTTTCCTGACTTTTTAATGATGGCCATTCTAACTGGTGTGAGATGGTATCTCATTGTGGTTTTGATTTGCATTTCTCTGATGGGCAGTGATGATGAGCATTTTTTCATGTGTTTTTTGGCTGCATAAATGTCTTCTTTTGAGAAGTGTCTGTTCATATCTTTTGCCCACTTTTTAATGGGGTTGTTTGTTTTTTTATTGTAAATTTGTTTGAGTTCTTTGTAGATTCTGGATATAAGCCCTTTGTCAGATGAGTAGACTGCAAAAATTTTCTCCTATTCTGTAGGTTGCCTGTTCACTCTGATGGTAGTTTCTTTTGCTGCGCAGGAGCTCTTTAGTTTAATTAGATCACTTTTGTCAATTTTGGCTTTTGTTGCCATTGCTTTTGGTGTTTTCGTCAGGAAGTCCTTGCCCATGCTTCTGTCCTGAATGGTATTGCCTAGGTTTTCTTCTAGGGTTTTTATGGTTTTAGGTCTAACATTTAAGTCTTTGATCCATCTTGAATTAATTATCGTATAAGGTGTAAGGAAGGGATCCAGTTTCAGCTTTCTACATATGGCTAGCCAGTTTTCCCAGCACCATTTATTAAATAGGGAATCCTTTCCCCATTTTTTATTTTTGTCAGGTTTGTCAAAGATCAGCTGGTTGTAGATGTGTGGTATTATTTCTGAGGGCTCTGTTCTGTTCCATTGGTCTATATCTCTGTTTTGGTACCAGTACCATGCTGTTTTGGTTACTGTAGCCTTGTAGTATAGTTTGAAGTCAGGTAGTGTGATGCCTCCAGCTTTGTTCGTTTGAATTAGGATTGTCTTGGCTATGCAGGCCCTTTTTTGATTCCATATGAACTTTAAAGTAGTTTTTTCTAATTCTGTGAAGAAAGTCATTGGTAGCTTGATTGGGATGGCATTTAATGTATAAATTTCCTTGGGCACTATGGCCATTTTCATGATATTGATTCTTCGTGTCCATGAGCATGGAATGTTCTTCCATTTGTTTGTGTCCTCTTTCATTTCATTGAGCAGTGGTTTGTAGTTCTCCTTGAAGAGGTCCTTCACAACCCTTATAAGTTGGATTCCTAGGTATTTTATTCTCTTTGAAGCAATTGTGAAAGGGAGTTCACTCATGATTTGGCTCTCTGTTTGTCTGTTACTGGTGTATAAGAATGCTTGGGATTTTTGCACAATGATTTTGTATCCTGAGACTTTGCTGAAGTTGCTTATCAGCTTAAGGAGATTTTGGGCTGAGACGATGGGGTTTTCTAAATGTACAATCATGTCATCTGCAAACAGGGACAATTTGACTTCCTCTTTTCCTGATTGAGTACCCTGTATTTCTTTCTCCTGCCTAATTGCCCTGGCCAGAACTTCCAACACTATGTTGAACAGGAGTGGTGAGAGAGGGCATCCCTGTCTTGTGCCAGTTTTCAAAGAGAGTGCTTCCAGTTTTTGTCCATTCAGTATGATATTGTCTGTGGGTTTGTCATAAATAGCTCTTATTATTTTTATATACATCCCATCAATAACTAGTTTATTGAGAGTTTTTAGCATGAAGGGCTCTTGAATTTTGTTGAAGGCCTTTTCTGCATCTGTGGAGATAATCATGTGGTTTTTGTCTTTCGTTCTGTTTATATGATGGATTATGTTTATTGATTTGAGTGTGTTGAACTAGCCTTGCATCGCAGGGATGAAGCCAACTTCATTGTGGTGGATATGCTGCTGGATTCAGTTTGCCAGTATTTTATTGAGGATTTTCAAATCGATGTTCATCAGGGATATTGGTCTAAAAGTCTCTTTTTTTGTTGAGTCTCTGCCAGCCTTTGGTATCAGGATGATGCTGGCCTCATAAAATGAGTTAGGGAGGATTCCCTCTTTTTCTATTGATTGGAACATTTTCAGAAGGAATGGTACCAGCTCCTCTTTGTACCTCTGGTAGCATTCGGCTGTGAATCTGTCTGGTCCTGGACTTTTTTTGGTTGGTAGGCTATTAATTATTGCCTCAATTTCAGAGTCTGTTATTGGTCTATTCAGAGATTCAACTTCTTCCTGGTTTAGTCTTGGGAGGGTGTATGTTTCCAGGAATTTATCTATGTCTTCTAGATTTTCTAGTTTACTTGCGTAGAGGTGTTTATAGTATTCTCTGGTGGTAGTTTGTATGTCTGTGGGATTGGTGGTGATATCCCCTTTATCGTTTTTTATTGTGTCTATTTGATTCTTCTCTCTTTTCTTCTTTATTAGTCTTGCTAGCGGTCTATCAATTTTGTTGATCTTTTCAAAAAACCAGCTTCTGGATTCATTGATTTTTTGAAGGGTTTTTTGTGTCTCTATCTCCTTCAGTTCTGCTCCGATCTTAGTTATTTCTTGCCTTCTGCTAACTTTTGAATGTGTTTGCTCTTGCTTCTCTAGTTCTTTTAATTGTGATGTTAGGGTGTCAATTTTAGTTCTTTCCTGCTTTCTCTTATGGGCATTGAGTGCTATAAATTTCCTTCTACACACTGCTTTAAGTGTGTCCCAGAGATTCTGGTATGTTATGTCTTTGTTCTTATTGGTTTCGACCATAATATTTTAAAATGTGTCTTCTTTCTTCCTACATGGAACTTATTAAGATTTCTAATTCTGAGGACTTGCATGTTTTACTAATTCTAAAAGTTTCTCAATCATTATCTTTTTCATATTGGTTCTGACTCATTCACTCTGCTCTAATTCTGGAAATGCAGTTGGTTCTATGATAGACTATTCTTTCTAGCTGTACATCTCTTAACCTGTTTTTCATATTTTTCATTTCTTATCTCCCTCTGTTGTTTTCTAGGTAATTTCTTAAATTTTACAATATAGATTATTAATTTTCTATTTTGTTATATGTATTATACTATTTAATTAAACTACAGTTTCTAATTATAACATTTTTCATTACTAGAAGTTCTCCCTCTTATTCAGTTTCAATTATTCCTGGTAAATTTTGATAGTATACTATTTTTTAGTCATATTTCAATTTCCTCATTTTTCTTCTTTAAACTTATTAAATGTGCTTACTATATGATCTTATCTGATGAAACCATTATTAACATTCTTTCTTATTTTGATACTGGAACCTTTTGTTCACTTTTGTTTTTTTGCTGGCTATCACTCACAGTCATTGATTTGATTGTTTCTTTAGAGATTTTTAATTGTGAGTTAGTTGAACATTTTTGTGGATTTATTTGAGGCCTGAAGTTGAAGTGAGTTCTCAAGAGATACATTTTGTGTTACTCCTTTTCTTCACTGGAGGAGGTCATGATTAACTGGGTAATCTTAAAACTTCTTTGGCTTGTGTTTTTGGATGCACAGATGTTGCGAAGTCCAGCTGCCAACCATAAGGTATGCGTAATATAAATAGGTATTTCTAAAGCAGTTTTTAACAGTCAGGGTTTAGTAGAGGAAATAGGAAATACTTTGTATTTCAAGCAGTAAAGAATATAATAAATGGAACTAGGTGCTCAGAAAATTATTGGAAGTGCCGAAGAAGTGGAAATCAGGGGGCATGCCTAGACTTTCAAAATCACCCCATCATGGTTACGATACAGAGGTCCTGAATAACTTTTGTTATTGCCCCACCACTGGGCTGCTACAGATACCTTATCCTCAAGAAGCTAGTTTCTAGACATTTAAACATGGACTGCAGTTGCTGCAAATATTCCTGGTGCTTGTGTGAACGTTGCATCTGCCACAGGAAGAGTGCTTCATTTCTGCCTTCTATACCTGGTATAAATTGACACACAGGACCATGGCTTCCAGAGAATCTAAAAATTGAGCTTTTAGATTCTCCAATAGAGAATAGAAGGAGAGTAAACTTCTCCAATAGAAGGGGAGTAAACTGAATGTTGAGAGAGCCAATCCAATTATTCATCACTTTTTTTTTTTCCTTTTTCTTCTATGTGAAGGCAAGATAGGGAGACAGGCATGTGTACCCGCCACTTTATCTATTGTTTGTATTACACCTCATGCTTCTTTATATGCTTTTGATCCCAGCTATTTTCTTCTGTTCTGTCCTAAGCAGTTAAATCTCTAGGATTGACCCAAGGAAGTCACTGGCTTTATCATTCAGTTACCCTTACGAACTTGACTTTTCCTATCCAATACAGATTTTCTGAAATCCCTTTATGTTTCATCAGGCTCAACTGTGTATATAGAAGATGTTTTAAAATACTGGATCTGGTAGTTTTACTTATGATATACAGAATGGGTTTCTATCACATCTGTTTGCTAAATGTACAACTATGTCTTAAGGACATTTTTTTCTTTTTATATTTTTTGATATCTTAATGGCCAGTACTTCTTAGTCTCCTTTGCTAATTCCTCTTCTTCCCAGCTGCTAAGTGTTGGAATTTCCTAGGAACCAGTCTTCAGGCCTCTTCTCTTATGTATTTATATTCTTTTCCTAAATGGTCTTATTCAGTATGGTTTTTTAAATGTCATCTTTATATGCTGGTGACTTCCAAATTAATATATTCAAGTTAGACCTTTCCCTTTTGCTCCAGATCATTTATACAAAGACTGCATGATATTCCTTCCTAGAAGTTTATAAAACATTTCAAACAGACATTAAAGGTCCAAAATATAAATTTTACTTTCTCCAACCTACCCACAATGGATTTTCCCTCAGTCTTTTTCACCTCAGTCAACAATACAGTAATGTGTTCAGTTAGTCATACAAAACCCTAAAAATTATCTTATTCTCTTTTCAGGCTGTCTAGTATCCAATCCAGGAACAAATCCTGTCAGTTCTATCTTAAGTAGAATCATTTCTCAAGACTCTCCCTTGTATAGTCAGTATACAAGACTATTGTATATATATACAATGGAATACATTCAGCCATAAAAAAGAATGAATTAATGTCTTTTGCAGCAACATGGATGGAACTGTAGGCCATTGTCTTAAGTGAAACAACTCAGACACAGAAATATAAATACTGCATGTTCTCACTTATAAGTGGGAGCTGAATAATGTGTACACATGGACATAGTGTGGAAAGGTAGAAAATGGAGACTGGAAGGGTGGGGGTCAAGTGGGGGGATGATGAGAAATTCCTTAATGGGTACAATGTACATTGTTCTGGTGGTGGTAGATATGCAAAAGGCCCTGACTTTACTACTGCACAATATATTTATGTAATAAAATTACACTTGTACCCCATAAATTTATATAAATAGACGTGCCCACTATCATACTAGTCTCAACCACCATCATCTCATACCTGTGCTTCAATAATAGGTTAATAGAAATCCAAGTAGGTGACTGAAGAAAACTAACTAGTTTCTCCTCTACTGTCCTCCTTTAAAACGTGTCCTGGCCGGGCGCAGTGGCTCACACCTGTAATCCCAGCACTTTCGCGCCACTGCACTCCAGCCTGGGTGAACGAGCAAGACTCCGTCTCAAAAACAAAAACAAAAAAAAAACAAAAAACATGTCCTTTAGCAAGCAATATGCACTTTTAAAGATGTAAATGAGATAATGCCACTTATGAGCTAAAACCTCCAATGTCTTTCCACCTTATTTAGAATGAACTACAAACTCTTTATGTGATCTGCCCCTGTTTATCTCTGCAGCATATCAGTGATATATTTTGAATTTACCCCTTTGCATGCCCCATTCTAGCTGCACTGACATTATTTTCATTGTATGAAAAAGAAAGTCCATTTCATCTGGGATACTCTTTCCCCAGTTCTTTGATTTTCCCACTCCAGTACTTTATTCTGATCCTAAACAAATGTCATCTTTTAGGGGCATTTCCTTATAACACTATCTAAAATAACCACTCTTGCACAGCTACCTAATATCTTATACATATGAGTCCTTTATGACATTTATCACAATCTAAAGCTATTACATATTTGTTTTCTTTTGTATTATCTACATTTTCAAATTTATTCCAAATTTCATGAGAACAAAGTTTTGGTTTTATTTTATTTACCTTTATGGCCTATATATATGTTGATTAAGTGCATGGATGGATGGATGGATGGTTGGATGGATGGATGGATGGATGGATGGATGGATGGATGGATAGACAAATGATACTCAGGTGGAGCTGCTCAGGATCAGTAGGTTATGTGGGAATAATGTATATCAGGATATATACAGGATTACAGATTTGAAAGGCATGAATTCATCAATCATTCATTGGACTGGATGAAATCGTCCAGGGATAGCACAGCAAGGATAAAACTCTAGAGAAGGCCGATACTTATTTTATGCTTTCTAAAGATAAAACCATGTTGAATTTTTTTCTTGCTGCAGTTTTAGTACCTACTATAGTCCTTCATATAGGAGATGTTCAATCAATTTGACTTATTTAATAAATGAATTAAAAATTGGAAAGAATATCCCACCAAAGGGAATATGAAGCATCAATTAGAGACTTAAGAGGAGAGCTAAGGAAGTATGAGTTAGTTGAAACTAGAAGATAAAGGGGTTTCAAGAAGGAAGAACTAGTCAGGAATCTGAAAAACTACAGAAGAGTCAAATAAGATAATGTCTCAATACAATTCATTACACATATCAAGAAAACTGGAGGCATTGACATTATGACTATTAGAAGACATTTGTCGCTATACTAAATATTAATACATTGAATTTATATCAGTAAACACCCTTAGTCTATAGTATTTAAATGCTCCCTTCATTGCATGCTGGCATTTCCTAGTTTTGAAGAATGTCTCTATGTTTTTGATATCTGTTAATAATAATATGTCTAAGATTCTTCTTTAGATTCAAGATCTGAGTCATGTTATCAATACATTAGGTCATGCTATCATGAAAGAAAACTAATAATAGTTTCTCAAGATCCTAATTAAACATTTGGAAAGATAGTATGAAATAACTATTTGGAAACTAATAAAGAGATGACTCTGTTATTACTGAATATCAAAGGATGGCAAATTTGTGAATAAGTCCCCAGATTTGTCTGCAACAGTCACAGTAAAAATTTAGAATTAACAACAGTTAAATCTCAAGAGGATACCACATTAAGTGCAACTGTTAAATATTTTCTCAAGGACACAGACCTTAACAGAAAATGGTGGCTACTAAAAGCTGACTACTATGCAAATATCTTGGCAAGACATTGGGTATCTGAGTCCCCTACAGGACACAGCTGTGATAATCTTTACAAACGTAGGATTCTGCTAGGGATAGGAAAAGAGCCAGGCTCACTGGAGACTTATTGCGAAAAAAAAAAAAATTGTACTTTTTGTGCAGCTTCTGCTCTCTGAATAATCTGATTACATCTCCAGGGCAATTTATATGGATCACTAAACTGGCCATAAAATATTATAAAATTATAACCTATTATTAGTTCTGTTCCTTTACTCATATAAACATTTATTACAGGTAAAATACCTGGTGGTTGTGTTAGACCCAGATAATACTAATATTTAATCGCATTAGGTTTAAGAAGAACAAACAAAAGTGCTTTCTCCTGCTCCTTTATATTCAGGCTTGAAATATCATTTAAAATAACATAGTAGTGCATGTGATTCTGTTTAAGGGGAGGTTCACAAAACCCTATCTCTCCTAGTTCTGATATCAAAGTTAGGGAGTGAGGTGGAAGACCCTTATTTCTCCAGAAATAAGAGAAGAATCAGGAGTTAGGAGACTCCATCTCTGCTTCAGATCTGTCCATCCCATCACATGGGTGATTACCAGGCAAGGTTCTTCAGTGTCCTTAGATTGGAGAGAGAATATCTGCACTGATTATATATTTAGTTAATTGCTACATACATGTATTGAAAGAAATATTTTCATTTCTTCATTAAAACATATATTTTATTTAGTATTTGTTTTAACACATATTAATTTTTAAAGTAATGCCAGCTTATTATAAATATCAAATAAAATAGAAATTTACAAAATAAAAACCAAGAGTCCTACCTCAGTTCTACCCTACTCTTCAACGCTACTCTCCCTGGATCACTACTGTGAATGGGATGCACTTTGTCTTCCATATATCTGTTTAGATGAGTCTGTATACACACAATTCCATGCAAACCTATAGGAAGGCCATTTACTCCATATAGACAACCCTGTCAGAAGAATCTTTCACACCTTCTCTTTCTTTTCAAGTATATTTCTTCTCAAATCTTCTAATCTATTCCCCTTCTCTGAGGTGTTGATTGGAAGAGGATCCAGACAAGGTAGTGATAGATTACAGAACACAGCAGCTGGGGCCATTGGTGATTTTGCTCCCTGAAGTCAGATTACTGAAAGGCACATTCTCATAGCTGTCTCCCTACTCTTGTCTCTTTTCAGTAGGAGTAGCCAGAAAAATTATCTTAAAAAGTATATCAGATCATTTGTCTTCTCTGTTCAAAACTCTCCAAAATCTCATTTCATTGGCAACAAAAACAAAAATAATACAACAGCCTCAGTGCCTGCTGCTATCTAACCCCCCCCCCATTTCACTCATTATCTCTCCAGTATTATATCCTCTGCTTCCCCCTTTTCCACTTCATTCTGGAGACTCCAGAGACACTATGTTCCTTGAATATTTCTCTCTGAGAAAATAGACACAATCACAAAAACAATTGTTTTATTCTCTCTGCTTGGGAGTTATTCTCTCTGCTTGGGAAATTCTTCTCCCGTATATAGCCATGGCTCATTTCCTGACCTCTTTCAAGTCTTTGCTCAATTATTACATTCTTGGTAACGTGGACCCAGACCTCTACTCCTCATTCAAAACAGCAATCATGGCCTCAACACTCCTGATACCACAACCTGATTCTTTCTTTTTGTAACATTGATCACATACAAGATAGGTAGTATATATTGTACCTTTGTACATATTTGTTATGTGTATTATCTGGCATTCTCCACCAGAATATAATCTCCAAAAGTATATGATTTTAATCAGCACAGCCCTAGAGCCTAGAAGAGTGGCTAGCAATAGCAGCCATTCAACAAACATTTGTAGAATAAATGAATGAATACATACACATATATAGGAGTTAATATAGCAAAATGCATTAGTGTGCAGGAACTAGAGTCAGACTGGTAGACTCTATCAATTATCAGCTGTAAATATAAATAATAATTGATCCATAAGTATCTAAAACATACTTTACAGGGTTCTTAAAAGGGTTCAGTTAGCAATTAGGTAATAGTTGTAAAGAGACACAAGTTATTTTTTTCTGGTCAGTTCTTCCTCTTTATGGAACTGTTCTTCTTTTCCCCCTAGCTATTAGTTTCTATAAAATTGTCATGTTCTTACTCTCTAATAGCTTTCATTTTATTCAGAGTCAGAGCTCGATACTTACAAGAGCCCCTTCAGGGTGAAAGCTAATTGGTCTACATATAGCATCTAACTTAAACTGAGAAATATAAGACTTGCCTGAAATTTTGAACTTCAGAACACAGAATGTATTGCCAACCCACTTCAACGATAGTAACTATAAGAAGTACAACTCAAGTGGAATCGCTGTCTTGTTTCTGAACACATGGACAAAATTTGACTTACAGAAGAAAGACAATTAGGCCCACTCAAAGATAAGAGAAGTTAAAAGCCAGAAAAAGAGTGTGTGTGTGTGTGCGTGTGTGTGTGTGTGTGTGTGTGTGTGTGTGTGAGAGAGAGAGAGAGAGAGAGAGAGAACTGGGAATGTTTGCATTCCTACTTCCAGTTGGTTCTAAGTCCTAGCTGCATCCTGTCATACATATGTGTAAGTCATTTAATCCCCTTTCTGTATCCACGCAGCCAATAAATTGCTCTTCTTTTTTCCAAAGAATTTTAAGTTGTTTCTATTACTTACAACCAGAGGAGTCTAATATATACCACATGTTTTGCTAGGATTAATAATATTAAAATTAAGGCAGTAATAGGGATTATGTATTCCCTGTAGTATCTACAAGAGAGCTGTTCATAAAGAAATTTGTTATAATGTTATATTAGCAAAAGACATTCCAATAATATGTCACATTGTTTTAAGACATGCCAGGAGATATAAATTAGTTAAGAGGCATAGGAATATGTTCTTGGGTACAGACTCTTTCCACACCATCCTTTGAGAACTGCCTCTCTACGTTACCCAGAAAGCTATAGCTTTCTTGTTTTCTTGGACCTAGGGGCTAAAACTAAAACTCCTAATGAGACGCCTTTCTTTATGCAGCCTTTTCTTCTCCCCAGGTAATTAATCACATGCTCTTCAGAAGGCTTTGCTTGAAACAGTCCCTTTTTGATGTGCTGCGATCACCACCAGTCATAACTAAATGTAATAGCAATTTCTCCAACCATACTGGCTTTGATAAAACATGCTTTATTCCTAGAAGATTAGGCCATTCATTCATCATGTATTTGATGATAATAATAATGATAATGATCTGTTGACTGTTAGCTTCTGGGTGCTCTAAGCCTTTTTTAGCTTTTAACACAAATTACAGGTAGGCCTCCCAGCCACCTGTCCCTTTAGGAAAGTAAACAGCTCTCTAGAAAGCCTTCTGATATGTTTTTTTAACTCATTCTAGAGTAGCACTTTTTAAACTTTAATGTGCAGTTGAATTGCTCCAGGATCTTGTAAAATGCACATCTGATTTAGAAGGTATAGAATGAAGCTTGAGATACTACAACCCTACATACTAGGTGATGTTGATGCTGCTGGTCTATAGACTGCACTTTTGATTAACAAGTTCCAAAGGATTTATTATGTACTGGTCCTGTTCAGTGCTCTAATGTAATGTCAAAGTTCCATAAACTTTTCAGTGTGTCTCTCCTTTACAAACAGTAACTTCCCACCATACATTTTTTTAAAATCACATGTGGCAAATTCAAAACCTTTTTCTTGTCTTCCCCTTCTGAGAACTGAAACAAAGAACCCCTGTCATACAGGCATGGTTCTTATACCACTACTAGTATCCTTTGTAAAGACAATACTTAAATATCCACTGGGATGAGCAAATCAAACCATTTCCTCATGTGTGGTTGTAAAGGCATAGAAGAGTTTATTTTCATTGTGCATTATCTTTCAGACTTAACTTAGATCTTATTATTCACCTGGAAAATGGAAAACACTTGCAAAGAAACATCCCTGGCTTCTCTGTTTTTGCACTTTTATATTTTATTTCTCCTAATCTGAAAGTTTACTTATGAGTCAATAAAGTTTCTTCTTTTTATCTTGTATTTAAGTCTTATACAAGGAGAACCTAAAAAAAAATGTTATTCACTGATCCAGTAACTTAATAATAATAGCATCATTTCTTGTGGGGGAAAATTTACCTTTTTCAGTTTTGAAGTGCCATCCCCAGACAGTGATAGCTAGTACAATAGATGCAGTTCCCTTGTTTGTCATAGACTCTACTGGAATAAGAGATAATCAAAGGATATACTTTCTTTTAATGTGGACATATTGCCACATAATGTCTTTGCCCTAGGGAATTCATAGCAAGATGTAGAAAGTAGCTCTTCTAGGTCACTTTGATTCCAGTCCAAGTTGCTTGTGATTAATACTGCTAACATCAACAGCTGCTCTAGTACTAATGTGAAATACAGAATGGTTTCAGTCTAGTTCACTGTAGACAAGTTCCCACAGCATGCAAATTATTAATGCCCTTGTAGACAGTGTTAGGACTCTAAATCGTTTTGAAACTGAATGCCAGACCTCCCTAGAGATGAACCCTATGACAATAAGTCAGCTTCACTGGAGACTTACTGTGAAAAAAAAACCGTCGCACTTTTTGTGCAGCATCTGCTCTCTAAATAATATGATTAGACCTCTAGGACAATTTATATGGATCACTAAACTAGCCATAAAATATTATGAAATTATGATGTGTTATTAGTTCTGTCCCTTTACCCATATAAACATTTATTACAAGAAAAGGATCTGGTGGTTATATTGGACCCTGATAATGCTAACATGTAATAGCATTGGGTTTAAGAAGAACAAACAAAAGTGCTTGCCCCTGAAGAAAGCAGTACAGTTTTAGTCAAAATCATGACCTATTAAAATTTCTGGTCTTGGGAGGCTGAGGCAGGCAGATCACCTGAGGTGAGGAGTTCAACACTAGCCTGACCAACATGGAGAAACCCCATCTCAACTAAAAATACAAAAAAATTAGCCGGGCGTGGTGGTGCATGCCTGTAATCCCGGCTACTCGGGAGGCTAAGGCAGGAGAATCGCTTGAACCCGGGAGGCAGAGGTTGCGGTGAGCTGAGATCACGCCATTGCATTCCAGCCTGGGCAACAAGAGCAAAACTCCGTCTCAAAAAGAAAAAAAAAAAGAATTTCTGGTCTTTAGCTGCTGTTTTTCATAAACAATCAATCATGTTAAGTTTTTTCTAATGTAGCTATGTACTAATATACTAATTTAATTGGTGATAGCAAAACATCTCTATCATTTTAATATGTCAATACTCACATTTGCAAACAATATGTATATAGTTGATGTCATTCACTAGATTTAACTGTGTGACGCAGTGATTTATAACTAATACTTAATTAGCAATACCCATAATTTAAAAATTTTGTGTGATATTCACATATTTCAATGAAAAGGAATCTCTCTGACACTTTAGGCAACTCAGAGGTAAAGTCAATGATCTAATAACAGGAAGATGGACTTTTGCCCATACTGTAGTGAGAGGTAATTGTGTCTTTTCTGAGTTCTTTATACTTCCGGTGTGCGGTGGGAAGAAAGAGTTAAACACCTGTCTAGGCACCCTTGATTACACACACCCAAATTGAAGAGACTGGATTATCTTTGTACTAGATAGAATATGTTGTCATTTGGTAATTTTACAGATCCTAACAACATGTTTTATATTGTCTTAAGCACACTTATTTGGGCACAGGCAATACAAACCTAGCATAAAAATACCAACCAACAGTAACAACAATAACAACTAAACTTTGTGCCTACTCCCAATGAAACAGAAAATAATTTGAATATTTCAAATTTTAAGTTTTTAAAAATTAGCAACATGTGTTTTGCTTCTTGTTTTTTCTCTCTCTCTTTCTTTCTTCTTTCTTTTTTTTTTTTGAGACAGGGTCTCACTCTGTCATTCAGCATTCAGGCTGCAGTGCAGTGGCATGACAATCAGGGCTCACCACAGCCTCCACCTCCTGGGCTCAAGGGATCCTCTCACCTCAGCCTCCTGAATAGCTGGGACTACAGGCACACTATCATATTCGGCTAGTTTTTTTGTAGAGACAGGGTTTCACCAAGTTTTCTAGGCTGGTCTTAAACTGGGCTCAAGCGATCTGCTCACATTGGCCTCCCAAAGTGCTGGGATTATAGGCGTGAGCCACCACACCTGTCCTTCCTTTCTTATCAAAGTAATTTTTTCTCTAAAACATTTCAAAAATATAGACAATTACAAAAAATAATATAACACATATCTATATATTTGCCACCAAGTTTAAACAGCTATTAACATTTGCCATATTTGCCTTAATGAAAATAAAATTGTAGATACATAAAAGCGTATATCTGTCCCTTCTCCTCTCTTTCTTTACAGAATAAGTTGGTGTAAATAATTTCTGTGCAGTCTTTTGAACTGTATTCCTTTTGTATACCCCCAAATTTATACCATTATTATATTCTATATTTTAAGAATTTATAGCAATGATATTCTATGTTTTTAAATATTTCTTTTTTTCTTTCAACATATTTTTTATGCTAATGTAGGTAGCTCTATTTCAGTCATGTTTACTGCTATATGACATTTCACTGGAAGAATAAGCCACATAAATCACAGCTTTCTGGTAATGTGGTTCTACAACGAATATCTAGGTTATTTAGGTTTTTTCCCACTAAAACAAGCAATGCTTCATCAAACATCATGGTATATATGCTCTCAGGTATATGTGTGGGATATTCTCTAGGATAAATGCCTATAAGTGTAGCTACTGATACAGGGTATGAGCATCTGCAAATTCCCTAGGTGTTGACAATTGCTCCCCAAGGTGATGTGCCAATTGTCACTCTCAACAGTAGCATGTAAGTCCCTATTTTGCCTCATTCTAAATAGCTCCTGGTATTGTCCAAGAAAAAAAGGGTGATTGTAAATGACATCATATTTGTTTTACTTTCCCCCTGAAATATCAGTGAAGGTTTTGTGTATCATTTATATTACATTAACCCTTACTGTTGATTTTTCATATCAAAGTCCAGTTTTCTATTTCTTTGTTTGGTTCTTTATTTTTATTTATAGTTGTTTCTATATTTTAATATTGATTATTTTCAATTAAATAAATTTTAACTTTAGTGTAAATATTTTGTAAAAGATGTGGCATCCAAAAATTATTGAAGCAATTCAAATCTTTACTTATCCCTTGTGGGGAGAAGTTTCTTAAGTAATTATTTCAGTTTATATTACTAGTACTTTTCATGTATCTCAGTATTAAGTGTTAAGCCACAATTCTTGTAATTTTATAACATTCCATAGAGAAGTAAATAAATATAGGAAAGAGGATTTACTTATGTTGCCTGAGATAAACACGAAGAAAGTAAATAATTTTTTTTCTTGATAATTTGATGGATTTTTAGGGTTTTATTTTTAAACATTTTGAAAGGTTGAATTTTACTGTACTTGCAGGCCAAGAAATTAACCTTCCGCAGTTTCATAAATAATGCCAAGAGACATGAGATTCCTGTCTAAGGAAGTGGCACAAGTTTCATGTTTGCTTCAGCTCCCCTGCCCCACTCCCATCACCACCAGGAGGTGACACAGAGGACCTCACTGAGGTGACACAGAGGAGCCCACATGAATGTTGAACACATCACAGATTTGCATTATCGCTGAGGAACCCCAGCCTTAGACAACCCCAATCTTTTATAATAAGCAGGAGGAATGACTGCTCTTTGCTTCGAAGGGAGACACTATCTTTATTATATTGGATAGCAAGCAAACCTGTTCTTTGCTTTGAAGGGAGGCATTATCTCTATCTTCCAAGATCTTCTCTATATAAGCATCCTTGAAAAGCTGGTCATAAACAAAAAAGTAGTTATGGCCTCTGCTCACAAGATATACAGAAATATGAGAGACCAATGAAGACTAATCTCTCAAAACTTGTGGCCGGACAAATAAAAATGTTTATATGAGTAAATTTAAACGTTTGCTTTACATTGAATTTTGTAAATTACATGCAAACTTTTTAAAACTAAAGCTTTCCATTCAAACTAGTATTTGTACATTTTTCAAAAATAATTTAAAAAGGGCTTGAAATACACCCTTTGCCTTCCCTAGTCCCTGCTCCACCCTTTGCCTTCCCTAGTCCCTCTCCTCAGAAGTAAACACTTTGAACTCTTAGGTTTTAGTTTTCTGATTTGTTATCTCTAACAATGTGCTGGTAAATTAACAGCTGGCTCTCCAGGTTTAGTCCCAATAACAATGTTGGTTGATATATTTTGTTTATATAAGATACAAATTAAATGATGAAGTATATGTCTAAATTTGACCATTCATCAGTGATGTGAATTTTTTTTTGCTACAATACATAACAGTTTTTGAACAGGAAGCATATTTTCTCATTTTTTTGGTGCTATTTATATTTTAGTGGCCACACAAATCACACAGTTTTAAATGGAATCACCGTTATTGACAGTTTCTCCATGACTTTCCTAAATCCAATCAACAAAGCAATATATCAAGCCCTTATATGCGGTGCAGGATGATCTCTGTGGTGTAAATGTTCTCGATTACAAGTCGCCAATTTGCCATAGCGAAGCATGCAGTTGGGAGGGGACGTGCAGTAGCATTCCATTGCATAGCATGCTGCCATATGGATGCAATAGGTGTGAATCATTCTCAAGAATGTAGATAACAGTAAAAGGTAGTAAAGTAATTTGGAAGTGACAAGTTTGAATATAATTTTTATAATATAAATTTTGTATTTATAAAGTTTTACAGTTTGATTTTTAGTCATGGCTATGTTTATTAACCAGCTCACAAAACTTCTGAAAATTTAACATTTGGATCTTGTGAGCTTGTTCAAGCTGGCTCTATCACACCACTGACTACCTCCATACCTTAAACCAGTATGCAAACCACTACTTTTTGATTTATCAGTTCTATACATTATCTTCTGATTTCCTGCAATAATGAAAATTTGGCTCATTTATGTTATTTTTTCTCTCCCTGTAGTAGCCTGTGTCCAATATGACCCCCAAAGAGCCTTTTTTCCTGGTATTCAGCTCTTTGTGAAGGCTCCTCCCTCACAAAATGACTGATCTGTGTAACCAATAGGAAACAATTGTATGTGACTTTAGGATGAAAGAGTCATTGTGATTTCGGCCTGACTTTCTTGAATCACTTGCTTTAGAGGAAGCTAGCTACCAAGTTGTGAGAACACCAAGCAGCCATACAGACAGGTCCATGTGGTGAGGGTCTGAGGCCTTCTGCCAACAAACAGAGCTCCTACCTATTCTGGAGGCATTGCTTCATGTTATTAGCATTTATTGTTGCTAACAAGACCACTAATGCCAACCTGATTCTTATTTCTGTGTCAGTGACTGTTATGGGTTGAATTGTGTCTCCTCCAAAAAAGATATCTTGAAGTCCTAACAACTGGTATTTCAAAATGTGACTTTATTTGGAAATAGTGTCCATTCATATCTTAACTAATTACATTAAAATGAGGTCACACTGGAAAGGATGGGCCAGTAATCTAATATGACTGGTGTCCTTGTAAGAAGGACCCACTGACGACAGAGACACACAGGGAGGATTTCTTGTGATGAAGAAGGTAGGGATTGGAGTTATGTAGCTGCAAGCCGAGAATGCCAAAGTTTGCCAGCCAACCACCAAAAGCTAGGAAGAGGCAAGAAAGGGTTCCCCTGCAGGTTTCAGAGGGAATATGGCCCTGACCATACCTTGCTTATGGATTTCCCTCCAGAACTGTGTGACAATAAATTTCTGTTTTAAGCCACCCAGTATGTGGTACTTTGTTATAACAGCCCTAGGAAACAAATATAGTGACCTTGTTTCTTTCTCTCAGGAAAAAATTTTTCTTTATCTGTATTAGCTCATTTTCATACAGCTATAAAGAACTGCCTGAGACTGGGTAATTTCTAAAGGGAAGAGGTGTAATTGACTCACAGTTCAGCATGGCTGGGGAGGCCTCAGGAAACACAATCATGGTGGAAGGCGAAGGGGAAGCAAGGCACCTTCTTCACAAGGTGGCAGGAAGAAGTGCTGAGCCAAGGGGGAAAAAACCCTTATAAAACACTCAGATCTTGTGAGATCTCACTCACTATCACAAGAAGAGCATTGGGGAAACCGCCCCCATGATTCAGTTACCTCCACCTGGCCTTTCCCTTGACAAGTGGGGATTATGGGTATTATGGGGATTATAATTCTGATGAGATTTGGGTGGGAACACAAAGCCTAACCACATCACCTATTTATCTTTTGTTGTTTGCAGTTTCCCAAAGGTGTGTCTAACTGCAATTTTCCTTTTTGATTTTTTTGTGCCTTGTGCTGTGTAACTAGTATATTCTAGCACATGAAAACTTTTAAATTCTGGAAAATTCTATGACATAATTTGATAACTTCAACCCATTATCTCCTCTCTTTTTTTTTTTTTTTTTTAACTTTCTGTAGAAAAATGTTGAAGCTCCTAAATTGGCCCACTATGCCCCTTTTCTGTCTGTCTTTCTTTTTCTTAAAGTTCTTTTTTGTCATTCTAGGCTATTACTTTTTTAAAATTTTGTTAATCATTTAAAATTTCTTTGGGTTCCTGCTGTTTTATTTCTTTTTAATTTTCAGATGTTCATTTTAATCTTACCTTTAGGGAGCCATATATACTTGAATCTCTCTGAAGTGCTAATTAGAAGGGGAGGAGTTTTTTTGGTTGTTTTGTGTAAGTGTATTCTGGTTTCTAGATTATTTTCAGTTTTTGGTTCCTTCTTTGATTTTAAGTTGCTCTTTTTCTCAAATGTCTGATGACACTAGTTCCTCTTTAAAGTGATGCACTACACACTGTTCTCTGATATTTCTATGGGTTTACTGACTGGTGGAGAGGTAAGAGGTCCACTATTAAGCTGGAGTCACCTAATGTCCCGAAGATGAAAGAGTTTGTCTTAGGAGCAGTAACATTTATACCTAGAGCTCTCAGAGGGCTTTCTCTTTGGAGGGAAAATTGAATGGTAAATACCTGGCAGCAACATGGGGAAAGAGATGGGAGTCTTAACTGCCCATATAGATTTTCATTTAATACTCCAGTGCTTAGGCCCATCTTTTACTTGTACCCTTCTTTATGCCTGGCATTTCCAAGGCCCAAGACTCTCCTTGGGCTTCTCAGAGTATATTGTGGGTCTATCTAATTTATTCTGTTTTGTATTCTTGCAACAATTTTAACAGAATCTCAATAGGGAAAGTAGATAAACAGCGGTTTAAAATCTTGAACCAGATATACAGAAATCTTTCTTTTTTCAAAGCACATTTTAATTCAGTTTATTTAAATGATAAAAACATATCCATAAAGGCATAACATATATAATTTAAAATTTCTATAGTAAACAAGATAAAAGGTCCAAAATTTCGGTAGATACTACATATGACCAAATGTAAAACAGCATGTCTTCCATTTTGCTTATTTCTAAAACTTTTTTTTCCCCTTTAAACAATTGTAATTTGTAGCCTCTTAGTCCTTCTACTATTTTTTTTTTTCTTTGAGACAGAGTCTCACTCTGTCACCCAGGCTGGAGCGCAGTGGTGCAATTTTGGCTCCCTGCAACCTCCACCTCCTGGGTACAAGCAACTCTCAGGCATCAGCCTTGAGTAGCTGGGATTACAGGTGCCCGCCACCACGCCCGGCTCATTTTTGTATTTTTGGTAGAGATGGGGTTTTGCCATGTTGGCCAGGGTGATCTCGAACTCCTGGCCTCAAGTGATCCACCCATTCTCAGCCTGCCAAACTGCTAGGATTATAGGCGTGAGCCACTGTTCCCAACCTTTAGTAATGGTTTTTATGTGTACATCTTCTTATTTGTGATTTCATCCTGAAACTCAACATGACATGACATAAAGTGGAGTAGACCAATGGCCACAGGCTGGGAAAGTCCTGGATTTGCCTAGGAGTTGTGGGATTTGGGGCAAGGTATTTCAGCTTTCAGAACCTTGAGTTTCTCTATCATGAAGTGAGATATTGAACTGGGTGAAATATTATGTTCTTATCAGACTTTGTGATTCTGTGGTTTAAATAGAAATATTTTATTCTTCTAAATATATTTTTGCAAAAATTTTAAGTGTAATTTTTGCCATAGAATAGAACAAAGGATTTTATCCAGATCTACTCTCTTATCTTCTGAATTATTATCTGAATCTTCTCTCCTTCTATTCCACTATTATCTTGGTCCAAGCTATGCAATATTGTATCCTACCCCTCTATAATCCATCTCTGTATAGCACTGTGAGATAGCATCTTATACTGCAAATCAAATGATATCACTCTACTACTAAAAACTCTTCGGTGATAGCAGTAATAAAGTCCAACTCCTTACCAACACCTGTAAGTCCATGTAAGTCCAACACCTATAAGTCCATGATCTAGACCCTGCCTAATTTTCCATCCTTAGCCCTTTGCACTAGCTAAATTTGCTAAAACCACCATGGTCATTTTTTTCTTCCCTCATATATGCCAACTTTTCCTGTCCCTGCTGTCTTTCTGCCAAGACTGCTCTCTCTTCTGCATTTCCCAGGGCTATGTATTTCCCAGGGCTAGTTTCTTCAGAACTTCGCTTAAAATCCATTTCCTCATTTAAAAAGAGAAAAAAAAACTTATTATTATCATTCCCCCTCCTAAATCCATGGTTTCCTTAATCATACTCTTCACAATTTGTAATGATTTGTTACTTTGGTGAGGGCAAGAAACAAGTTTTTCATTGATCACTTTATCCCTTGTGCCTGGTATCATTTCTGGGACAAAACAAGTGTGTGATAAATAATTGATGAAAGAGGAATAGGCACTAAAATGAATGATTTGTATATAAAACCTAGTATTAAAATGAATTTTATTTTAGGAAAAGTGATAACTGGTTATGCAGAGCAAAATCAACTATGGTGCAAAGAAATAAAGAAAAACAAATTGCAAATTATTATGTTTCCTTCTTAACTTGTGTATTTTTTTATTCAAACTGCATTAAATTAGGCCTGCTTATTTTCAGATTTTTTCAGGCTGACCTTGCTTGAAATTGGAAGCATTTTTAGAATAATTTATGCATCAAGAAAAGGGTATAATGCTTTAGTGATGCAAGGCCCCCGAGGGCAGAGTATCAAGTAAAATATTCATGAAGCTTAAGTGCAAGAGACATCAGATTTTCTGTAGTATTTTAACACTGCATTTCTGTACAAGGGAATTGTAAAGTGCAAGAATATGAGAGAAGATAAATATTGAGGACAATAAAGAGGGCCTGTAAAGTGAGTTCTTGCCTTTCCGATTTTACAGCTATTATTCTCCCAAGTGTGAGGTGACTGTGTGTGTGTGTGTGTGTGTGTGTGTGTGTGTGTGTGTATTGGGTCATATTAGAAGTTATTAGAAGTTCCCTTATAATAATTATAAAATTAAGAAATAATATAATTGGCTATGTGGGTTACCATCTGATTTTCATTCACATCTGACTATTTGAATTGGGATGTGTTTTCTTTAATTATTTTGTATGAAAAAGAAAAGATGGGGCATAGTGTCATAGTAGTTGCATACGTTTTGTAAGAAATTTCAAGTTCTCCCAGATGAAAGATAACCTTTGTTTTTCAACTTGTTTTCCACTTTCAACTGTACGCTTCATAAGACATTCATTATTTCCCAAGATGTTCAAAAAAGATACAGTGAAAGGGCATTGGGAAATATTTAATATGCAATAATCTTTAGAGTCCTTCATTTTGAAAATGGTCTCTAAAAGTTAAATTAGTGATAACATAAAAAGAAATCTTTCCATGTAAATTTGTCTACAGGTATTTATTTATCTTTCTGATGTCATTGATTCCTTTGTTCTGATTATTCATCAAAAAAATTTTTTTAAATGTTTGGTAGATTTGGGGAATCAAATATTATGTTAAAGATAGAAAGCTCTACCTCATCTTGAAGACTTTGGAGAGGATGCTGATCTCTGACCTGTGGCTAACCGTCAGATTTTAGGTCATCGTGCAACATACAAAATATTAGATTATAGAATGTGTAAGCTTAGAAATTAGAAATTAGTGCAGTCTACAATATCTTCATTTTGTAATATTCTTGAACATTTAATCTGTTTAGAATATAATGGTCTATTAGTATCTCAGATTAATAACATCTTGCTTCATTATCTTTCTTTTTGAAATGTTTAGACCACATTTTTCTTTCAGAGCAGTAGCCATAACATTGTCTGAAATTTCAAATGAAGACCTTTCCAAAGTAATAGTTATAAGTAAATTACACAGTCCTCCTTGATGCATGGAGAAGCCTTATAATTGTTCCAAGTAAATTCAGAAGTAATAGGTAATAGGAAGGTTATATTCACCCTGATAGCCCTTACAAGACTGGTCATCAACATTCAGAACCATGTTAATTGCCAACACTGTCATGAATGGGGTATTTATATACCTAATTTTGCTGCATGGCCAAAGATTCCATAAAAATAAGACTTTATGGAGGTAGACATGACTGGAACATAGAAACCATAGCATAATTAAGCAGAAAATTCCAATTACATAACATTTATGTATTTATTTATGATTCCTCAACTGTGGCCATGGGTGGCTTCTTTTTCTTTTTTCCCCCCTCAGCTTTATTAAGGTAAAATTGACAAATAAAAATTGTATGTATTCACAGTATACAAGGCAATGTTTTGATATATGTACCTATTGTGAAATGATTAAATCAAGCTAATTAACATCTATTGTTGCACATACTTATATTTTGTGAGAGCATTGGAGAGCTTAAATCAGCAATTTCTAATTTTTGCAATATATTAAATATATATTTTATATTGTATATATTTAATATATTTACAGTATATTTTTATAATATATTATTATTAACTATAGTCATATTATACAGTAGATCTCTTGAACTTATTCATCCTGCCTAAGTAAAACTGTATCTTTTAACCAGTATCTCCCCATTTCCACCGCCAGCCTTCTCTAGCTCCTGGCAACCAGCATTTTACCCTCTACTTGTATGAATTTGATATCTTTTAGATTCCACATATAAGTGAGATCATGTAGTATTTGTCTTTCTATGCCTAGCTTATTTCACTTAGCAAAAGTTCCTCCAGTTTTATCCATGTTATCAAAAATGACAGCATTTCCTTCTTTTTAAAGGCTGAGTTGTATTCTAGTGTGTGTGTGTGTGTGTGTGTGTGTGTGTGTGTGTGTAGCTCACATTTTCTTCATTCAATCATCTGTCAATGAACACTTAGGTTGGCTGATTCCGTATCTTGGCTATTGTAAATAATGCTGCTGTGAACACAAAAGTGCAAATATCTCTTTAACATACTGATTTTATTTCTTTTGTATATATACTCAGAAGTAGGATTGCTGGATCACATGGTAGTCCAATTTTTAATTTTTTGGGGAAACTTTTTATTGTTTTCTATAATAGCTATACTAATTTAAATTTCCACTAACAGTCTATAAGCATTCCCTTTTGTCCACATTCTCACCAATACTTGTTATCTTTAGTAGTAGCCACTCTCTCTGGTGCAAAGTGATGTATCACTGTGGTTTTAATTTGCATTCCCTGAATATTAATGATGTTGAGCGTTTTTTCATACCCCTGTTGGCCATTTGCATGTCATCTTCTGAGAAATGTATATTCAGGTCATTTGCCCATTTTTCAATCAGTTTATTTGTTTTCTTGCTATTGAGTTGTTCAAGTTTCTTATATATTTTGGATATTAATAGTTTGTACGGTTTGCAAGTATTTTTTTCCCATTCTGTAGGTTGTCTCTTCACTGTGTTGATTGTTTCCCTTGCTTGAGGAAGCTTTTTGGTTTGATGTAATCCCATTTGTCTGTTTTGTTGCCGTTACCTGTGCTTTTGTGGTTACAGCCCAAAAAAAATCCTTGCCCAGATCAATGTCAAGAAGCCTTAATTCTATGTTTTCTTCTAGTAGTTTTATAGTTTCAGATCTTATGTTTAGGTCTTAAATCCAATTTGAGTTGATTTTTATTTTTAGTGTGAGATAAGGATTCAATTTCATTCATCTGCATGTGGATATTCAGTTTTCCCAATGCACATTTATTGAAGAGATTGTCCTTTTCCCATTTTGTGTACTTGGCAACTTTTTAAAAAAATCAGTGACTGTATATGCATGGATTTTTTTCTAGGCTATTTCTTCTGACCCCTTAGTCTATATGTATGTTTTTATGCCAACACCATGCTGTTTTAATTGCTATAGCTTTGTAGTATATATCAAAATCAGGTACTGTGATTCCCCCAGCTATTTTTTGCCAAAGATTGCTTTGACTATTTGGGTATTTTAGGTCTCCATGCAAATTTTAGGATTATTTTTCTTTTTTCTGTAGTTACCTTGAATTAAAATTAGTAGTTTGATTTCAAATGTGAAACTTGTGACTTTTTTATTTATGGCAACAGATTTTTACAATTATATAATGAAAAGCAAAGAGAAAATTATATTTGAGGTCGAAATTCCTATTACTATTACATTTTTAGAAATGCCTCATGGTTATATATGTGTGTGGAAATGAGAACAAATAGGACTGGAAGCTTTGACTTCCTGCTCCCTCTTCAGCACAATACTCCAAAACAGCATTTCCTCCTTTCTCTCTCACAATTCATCTTCTTTTCCCCCTTCTCTGATCTTGCTACATTTTTATTTTTATTTTTTGTTCCACACTGATTGTAGCCCAAAGGTGATAAATTTGTGTGGACTAAGTGCAAGAGGAGATTGGGGAAAATTTGTTTCATTGTTGTGTCATTAAACTCAGTTTTCCCACCAAAGCCTGTTCTAATAATTTAATGGCCATGAAAATTGGTTCTTTTTTAGAGTAAAATATCTTTCCTGGCTCATTTGAAAGTTGCCACATTCAATGTTGCATTTTTATCTGAAATTCGGAAATAACTGAACTTTCCTAAGCGAATCTCATCTCAACAGATTTTTAGTATAATATCAATGTCAGAGAGATTTGAATAGACTGGATTAAGAAAGCCTTGGGTAAATGTTAGAATATTACAAACCTGTCATACCTCTTTATTATTCTGTTTAATAATTCATAAATAGGAGTCCTGCTAAGTTTTGATAAATAATATCCCTGTAGGGAGCTTACTGAGCTGTCATTGGTATGCTTGCCTTCCAATTTTCCTGCCCTGCTCCTATCAGAGACCATCTTCAGGGTTAGTGGTAACCTAGCAGCATCTTTCGGTCTTTCCTTGCCTCACCACTGCGGCGCGGAGCTCCCTGGAGTGGAACTGGCTTTGCAGACCCTTCACCAGCCTCCACTCAGCTTTCACTCTCACTTTCTGCTTGCTTTCACACCAGGAGTGGGATCTAACTCTCACACTACCATGGGAAGCTGAATTTATGTTGTACTATTTCAGAATAAATTTCAAGTTGTTAAAAAAAATTAATAACTTTTGAAGTACTTAAATATTATCATTTAGGCATTTTTGCTAATTTTTCTTGGTGTTTGGCAATCAACCACCAGGATTAATAATCTGATACACTTTTTTCCTTCAAACACATTTAATTTGTAAGTACATCAAAACATAATTTTATTACACCTTTTAAAGTTTCATGTCTTTATTAGTAAGTATAAAATAGTTGTTGCAAAAATAAAAAATATAGGAACAGATGATATGTCATACTTTTATTTTAGACTTGGAGAAAAAGCAGAGATTTCCTATAAGTGGTAGTTGAGAAAAAATTATTCCTTATATGATTTTCATCATAGTGTTTGACGTTACACTTAAACACTACACTAAGATAATAGTAATCATAACACTCTATTAAGTCTACTGTATGCCAGTTATTCATATAAGCGCTTTCCATATATTTGCTAATGTATTACTTAGTTAACAACCCTGTAAGGTAATTACTATTTGTTATCTCATTCTACATATGGGGAAACTGAGGTACAATATATTTGTGACTTGTTTAAGGTCATCAAGTTAGTAAAAGTAGCTAGATTCAGTCCCAGGCAGTTGCACTCCAGAGTACGCAACTTAAACACTACCTTATACTGCATCTCTGTTGAAAAAAATGAAAGCTGGTTGCTGCATTGAACAATATCAAAAATTTATTATTTGGAGAAATTTTCTAATATCTGTGTCTCTAAAATATGGGTCAGTGACGTTTTTGGGGAGCAAAGTTCTTGGAGATTTAACATGTCATGATAAATCTGGGTCTTTATATACTTGTGAAATGTTTCAATCCATAAACCAGAAAATTGGATACTTACTTTGATTAACATTTCTGTAATGGCACAAAGATTTGCTAAGAAAGCATCTTTGAAGACTGGCATTTTGGCTGTATTGATGCATAAAATTTTCTAACCATATATCTACTATATTGCTTATCTTATTTAAGTAAAACTATTCCAAAAGTTATTTTATATAACACAAGGTCAAACTATGCTGACAAAAATCATTACTCACTTCATACACATGTTATTGAAGGTAATATCTGTTTAATTCTATTCTATATCCTAAGCATTTTGCAAAACACATAGCAATGTATATTTGAACCCAAGCTGAAAGTGAAACATCAGTTTATAAAGATGAGCTTCCTCAAATTTGTATGTCATAATTACATATTAGAAGTGCAATGAAGTACAAATAAAATGAATAATTTATAGTTAGTGTCAATGCAGTTAATGAAAATGTCCGAAGCAAAGTGTTTAAATCATAACTAATCCTGCGGGGCTCATGGCCTTCACCTATGCTTTAGAAAATGGATAAATGCCATCTCCTGGAATGGCCTCCTTGGAAATTATTCTTTGGAAGATGAGGCCCCAGACTGTGCTGGGGTTACCTCTAGAATTTGGGGGACATTGGCACTCATAGACTGCTTCCCACAGAGGAACTGGAGCATTCATCATTCTACTGGACCTCTGCTTAGCATATTCTGGGTATATATCAGCATGGGTGCAGAAGACCAACTACACGTAGAGGGAAAACAATCAAATAAAATATAAAAAGATGCTTGGTTTTATAAAGCAGTAAATATAGTCTTCTATTCCTAGTATATGTTTGCAAAAATATTGTTTTAAAAATCAGATCTACATAGAAAGCTGCACAGAATGGACAATAATGGGTACTCAGCAGACCCAGGCAGGGCCTGCCTTCTTGGCTGGCTATTTATTTATTTATTTATTAGCTTGGATATTCTTCTCTCTTGCTGCTGAAACTGCCTCTAAAAGCAAATTCCATTCACATCTTCGCTTGATAGATGCAGTCAGAATGGCAGGCGAGAAAGAACTATCAGAGTTCAAGGAGAATACTAATGCCTCTTCATATATACAGGCACATTTTCACATCATGTGAATATTGTATGAAGATGTCACAAATTATATGTTCACATGTACATATATTATCATTTTCACATGAAAATGAAATATGTCTTATCTCACACAGGAGAAATGAAAGTCAAATGCGTAGTTTGCCATCTACTCCATTACTTGGGGCTTTCTATAAAATGAGCTCTCTAAACCTGTATTTTCAACTGAATAATCTCAAGAGGTAACACAACTGCATACTTTTTTTTCTTTTACCATCCATGCTGATACTTGAATGAAATGATTAATAATTTGGCTGTATTTTGAATATTTTCTATATTTCTTTTTTCTCTCTCATTCATGGAAATTTTCAGAATATTCTCAAATAAAGAAAGCATGCTGAAAAAAAGTTACACTAGAATATTGCTCCTTCTAGCCCCATAGAATTTAGCAGAGTTTTGCACATAATAGAAAAGCAAAATTTTAAAAATGGAAGAGTCATAGTCTCCTAATTGTATTCCTTCATTTTACACAGGAGAAAATTTAAGCTTATATATAGTATATGACTTTGCTAAAAGTCACCTTAATGTAAAGTCACATATTAGAGTGAGCATCCAGCTCTCAGTGTTCCAGGGCAGGATTATTTCTAGTGCAGTTCTTTTTTATTTAAAACCGAAAACAAATAAACTAAAAAATCCTAATGGAACAATAACAATAAAAATGCCTTCTCTATGCCTTAAACTCAGATAAGTAGACAAATATTATACCTTAATTATGATAAAATAAATAAATGTAAGAAAATAATATGTGTGGGATGGGGGTATAAAATGATTTATGTTTCTTTAAAAATATGTGTGGAGTTGATATTCATAATCTGATATATGGTGACTTAACAGAAGACCAGGTATCAGTGGCATGTGATACGCACATAGTGTGCTCAGAACATTTTACATCTTGTGCAGAGGAAGGTAGAACCATTTTGTTTAAAGAAAACCCAGAGGATTTTAGAAAATTACCTAAAGACTGCTGAGCTGTCAGCAAAAATTTAAGGCTTCCAGGAAAAGTCTGTCATTTATCTGTAAAACACCCATCTACCACTGCCTGCAGCATAAAGGACAAACTTCTTAGCGTTATCCATGCAACCTTCGTTAATCTTTCCCAACATGCCCAGTTGCTTTTCTCCCCAATCACTTCAACAGAACCTATGCTTTAGCAGTCCTCAAGAACTTTTAGTTCCTAGAAGATACCATTGCACATGTCATTCCTTCTGTTGGCAATATCCTTCCAAGACATCAATCATAGATGGTTACAGAAGATATTGCAGAGAATATGAAGAATTGGAAACATAATCAAGTGCAAAATCAGTAAACACTATTCAGGAGATAAGATGCAGATTGTGATCCAAGCTTTATAATTATTTTGTAGGGGAATCAGCAAAAAGCTTGAGAAGTAGATAGTACAAGGCAGGGAGCTATTTTTTTTAAAAAAAATCCCTCCCTGCCTGTTTGAGTATCTTCTAGTTAACACATACATACTAGTTGCAGTCACATAACATATAATTTAATTTTCATAATAACCCTAAGATATAGGGGCTAATAAGTCTTTTTTGAAGACCAGGAAGCCAAGTGTAAAGCATCATACCTAGTAATCAGCAGAACCAGACACCAAATCCCAGTCATTGTTGAAATAATTGTAACCTTAAAAATTATTTAATGTTTATCACTGTATTAGTCTGTTCTCATGCTGCTAATAAAGACATACCCAAGTCTGGGTTATTTATAAAGGAAAGAGTTTTAATGGACTCACAGTTCTACATGGCTGGGGAGGACTCACAATCATGGCAGAAGGCAAAGGAGAAGCAAAGGCACATCTTACATGGAGGCAGGCAAGAGAGTGTGTGCAGGGGAACTCCCATTTATAAAACCATCAGATCTTATGAGACTTATTCACTACCACAAGAACAGTATGAGATAAACTGCCCTCATGATTCAATGTTCCACCTGTCCCTGCCCTTGATATGTGGGGATTATTACAATTAAAGGTGAGATTTGGGTGGGGACACAGCCAAACCGTATCAATCACATTTTTAAAACACAGGTCATGCATTCATGTTAATACGTACAAGTACTTCAAACCTTCTTTTCACAGCAAATAGTTATTTAGTTGGTAGAGAGTTTTATAGAAAATTTGGCTCTGCATGCAAACAGGGCCTCACAGAGTGACAGCACACAGACAGTTGTTAGAAAATCCCAGCATCTGATCCACAGCTTTGCAGATTTTATGATTGAAATTGGTAATAAAACAAAATGGATTAGCCTTTGAGACTGATCAAGGTTATTGACATTCACAAGTGTCTGATATATACACTTCTGAATTATTCATTTACATTTACAATTAGAAATACAACTATCAAGCAGACCAGAAATGTTATGGGCATTATTCTCTACTTGTTCTCTTTGTAGGCAAATCTACAAATTACAATCAGAACTTTGTTTCATGAAAATGGAGTTAAGTCAGTGATAATAGGAAGGGCAACTACAATGCTCCATGCATTGTGCTAAGCTGCATATTGCTAAACTCTATATTTGCATTATTTTATTTAGTTTTTATAATGTTATTATGTGAATATTTTATAGATAAAGAATGGGAGACTCAGAGAGTTTAAGTAATTTGCCTACATTTACATAGCCAATAAGGATTAGAGCCAGATTTTAAATCTAAATTTATTTAACTTCAGAGAAATAGATCTTAATCATGACCCAGTGCTGCCTACCAAACATGATATAAGCTCCTTGAAGTCAGGGAGAATCATAACAACATTAACAGCTCCCAATGGAGGAGTGTCTCTCATATGCCTTACACTTTCATTCATCCTCTATGACTCACTCTAACTCTCATATCAACCCTGTTATATAGATACTCTTATCATCATTTTACAGAAAATAAGACAGAAGCTCGAATATGAAATCTAAGCCCATATTGCTGACAAGTAGCAAGATTAGAGAGCACTTAATTCCTGACTTTGAAGCTTGCAGTCATTCTCTTGCTGTATGCTATAATTCCAAGCCAGGCATTCTCATCAGAGGGACAGGTGGAGATCATTGAATCATAATCAAGGTTCATTGTTGTGAACTTTAAAATAGTTAATAACTATATTCAAATATTAACTATTTTAAAGTTCAAAGTTTGAAGAACTCTAAAATAGTATTATCTATTTTAAAAAACCTATTAAAGAAGGAAAAGTACCAGGAACCCTGGAAAAATTAATCTTGTTGCCCTGCAATCAGAGCCAGCCAGGAAAAGAAGCAGTACACAGAGTCAGAAACAGCTACATGTGAAAAATCACATAGTATTAACTATTTTAAAGTTCATAACAATCCAATCAGTGCAAGTCTATAAGTATTCACATTTCCTAGATAGGTAAGCTTAGTGAGAAGTTAAATAATCTGTCCACAGTCTCACAACTAGCAAGTGGTGTCCCTGTAAAACAGACCAGGCAGTCTGGCTCCAAAGTCCTACACTCTATTGAATGATCTTAATAAGAAATGACAACTAGTTTTATGGCCTGATGCATTCAATTTCATTCTAGAAATATTTATCCATGGGCAACAGAATGTCTCCCCAATACAGAGATAAGAAAAATGATGCAAAGTAAATGTATTCCTAAAGAGCAAGACTATTTTTGTAGTTGTAGTTGTTGTTGTTGTTGTAGAACATGGTGGGGTACAATGGAGATGCTTGGACCAAAGCTTGACTACCTACCCTAATTTCAGTCTTGCCTCCTTAAGACTTGATCTCTATCAGTTTGATGGAATTTGAGTATGCATAAAAAAGATGTATTGTGGTCAACAGAAGCAATCAAGAAGGGCAGAAATAAAGCGGAGTTGTGAAGAGCTACATGTGCAAGTCCTGAAAATATCATTGTGTCTGGGTGAGATTCAAAAAGAAGGAGAACAAAAACAGTTCCCCAATGGGATGTGCTTTAGAAAGCCAGGTGAGGCTGAAGACATGACTCAGGCATCCTTGTTGTAAAACTGGCTTTGAGGTAACACATAGTAGTGAGCGTGGACTTCCATGGTTCATACATAAGAAGATTCTGTGGAAACTAGATATTTTAATCAATTCTAAACTTAATAGGAGAGCTGTCACCAGATGTAACTTCTACCAAAAGAGAGGAACCTATTAAAGAAGGAAAAGTACCAGGAACCCTGGAAAAATTAATCATGTTTCCCCGCAGTCAGAGCTAGCCAGGAAAAGTAACAGTACACAGAATCAGAAACAGCTAGATGTGAAAAATCACATTACAGAAAGCTTAGAGAAAGAATGGCTAGGAGATCAGATAACAATAAAATGAAAATGCCACAAAAGAAAAGAGAAACTGTCAAAATGGACTTCAGACCACACAATCACAGATGGTGCTGATAAAGAAGAAAATGGGCATCCAAAGAGATCAGCACAGCAGCCCAAGGAGCTAGCAATAAATGTGAGAACATGGAAAATGATGAAAGTAGAGGTATATAAGTAAGAATGATAATGGAAGAATAATATAGACACCTAAAAAAATTGACAGTGAGTTTAAAGCAAGAATGGAGTTGAGAAAAATTCCAAAGGTGTTTTAAAAATCATGCGTAATACAAGAAAGATAATAAAAAGAGGAAACTCTGCTACTTGGGGCTGAGGATGACATATTAACAATGGCCAAGGGAAAGCAGTAGGCACTATTTTACTCCATTTAGCCTCCTCCTTAGACAGCAAAGAAGATAATGTTCACAGTAGCAAGAAAATGAGCCCCATGTATAAGAGTAGGCACCTACAAACTTTGATAACATCCAGTATTATTGTGAGGACTTGAAATTGACATTGTTGAATTATCGATGGTTTATTCATGTTATTGAATAAATGTACACACAAGCACACACATGCACACACACACACACACACATATGCCAGACACTGTATTAAGTAATTTACAATTATTAACTTATTTTATTTTTAAAGCAACTCTACAAAGTTGATGATCTTTCTACCATTATGGAGAATAGAAAATAGATATTAAATATGAGGATAACTTTTTTCCCAAGATCTACTTGTCCAGTAACACTAAGCCTTTTAAATGAGGTTCTTTGGCATAACTTGTTTTCGTTGAATTCATGTTGCATGAAAGAATCTTATTTATTTTTCATAATTTCTTATAATTTAAATTGCACTAATCAGTTGAATAATCTTATGCTGTTTAGACATTAAACTGACTAATTATTGAGAAATAAAGATTATGTCACAGAAGCTAAGAATGACAGACTTGTCAAGCTACAGAAAGGACTAAATGTAAGATGAAACAGGAAAGAAGCAAATTTTTTTGAGGGAAAGAATCCCATAATTCTGGTAGAAAAGATTGAGTGTTCCCTGAGGACAAAGATTATACATTACCAATCCCTGTATCACCATTATCGTATACAGTGACAGTGATTTATAGCTCAAAAATTAGGACTTTTAAACACTTAACGTGATTTTAAACTACGCTAAAGTAGGTATAAAGTTCAGATTATTTACTCCCCTGGGGTGGCTCATCCGTGTGTGTGTGTGTGTGTGTGTGTGTGTGTGTGTGTGTGTGTGTAATCTTTATGTATATGTAATATTTATGTATATGTATATGTAGTCTTTATGTATATGTAATATTTATATATGAAGATTTATATATATATTTTATAAATAAGATATATATATATATATAATATATATAAAATGTTCAATAAGGCCTGTAAAGTGACCCTAGACATATTGTGTTGAAGACCTAAATGCCTACTAGATATTTTTGCCTGGTTGCCCCCTGAGTGTGTGAAACTGAGCTTATTTTTAAATTTCCTCCACAACTTATTTCTTCTAGATATTCTACATTTATAAATCAGGACAATTATTGTCATTATTATTATTATCATCAACATGTAAAAACCTCAATGATTTAATGCAAGAGAGGTATATTTCTTGCTCATGCTTATAAGGCTACTCTGGGGAGAGTGTTTTCTCCTCTCCTCAACATTCTTATTCCTGGATCCAGACTGTTTCCATTACTTACTACTGTGGAACAAACCACCCCAACACTTGGTGGTTTTGACATAACAGTGCTATTATGACTTCTTATGGTTCTGTGGGAGGAATGGGCTCAGTGAGGGGGGTTTCCACTCCATTTGATGTCTGCTGGGATTGCTGTCATCTGACACCTTGGTTGAGCTGGATTGTCCAACATTGGTCACTTGTGTGATTGGCAGTTAATACTGAATGTTGACTGGGGGCTCCAGTGGGGCTGTCTGCTGGACAGCCTTCATGGAGTCTGTTTACGTGGATTGGGTTTCTCACAGCACAGCTGAAGAATTTGCAGAGGCCATATCTCAAGAGCAAGTGTTCCAAGAGGGAGGAAGTGGAAGATGCCAATACTCTTTAAGACTACACCTGAAATTGGCACAGCATCATTTCTGCTATGTCCTCTTAGTTAAGCAATCGATCTTGTGATTCACGAACTGGAAAAACAAACTCCACTTCTTTATCAGGAGAAGTAAAAGAATGTGTGGCCACCTTTAGTCCATAGACTGAAAAAACAGCCACTATCTAGAATTTGCTTGTAATTTTATCAGTTTAAGAAAGAGAGCTCTGCAGGACCTCGCATCAGCAAAAAATATATTTGCCCTGAAAGTGACACATTTTACTTCAACTCACAATTCCTTGGCCAAAATTGGTCCAATACCTACATGCTACCACAGAATGCAAGAAAGTATGATCCTACTACAGATCTTCAGAGAACAGCAAAAGAATGTAACTCCAGTTTGTCTCTTACTCTCAAAATCCGCTGGTGCCCTCATTAATTATTACCCAGAACATCACAAAGACTGACTTGTCTCTCTTCCTCTAGCTGAGCTTCTTTCTAATTTATTTTACAAACCTGACCCAGAAAGAAAGAACACTGTAAAATATAAACATTATTGTTTAAAAATCACATAAAATCATAAACATATAAAACCCGTATAAATATAAACTTACCTACTTATCATCTTTCACTAACTCACCACATTTGTTGAGCACCTCCAATGGGTAAGACACTGTGCTACTTCTTGCCATCACAAATTTTACATTTTTAATTTTGTCCCTCTGCCATTGTTATCAAGTATAGAATACTTAATATGATTCATAAAGTATATAAAAACAAGGGCCCTGGCCTAGTTCTCCAGCTTCATTTTAGGATAAGCAATTTTATTTCTTGCTGTTCTTGTTAATTTAGCTTAGTTCTTTTATGATTATTTTTTTCTCAAAGAATAAATTTTTTTTTCAATTATTCATTCTACTTTAAGAACCACTAATTTTTGGTGTCTGCTTTTATTACCATTTGTTTCATTTATGGAAAATGCTTTTATGATTTTTTTCTAAGTTACTGAATTGAATGCTTACTTCATGTATTTTTATTCTAACTCTCCTAATCATAAAGGCATTTATAAAATGAATTAAACAGTTATGAAAACTTTGGCTGCCTCTCATATTTTTATATGTTGTAGATTCATTCTAATTATGTACAAAATTATTTATAGTAGCATTTTATTAAAACATAACGTGTAAACAAAAAAAGTTGTACAAGAAAGACAGAAATCACTGAAATTCCATTTCTATAACTTTGATACATATTTTTTCATCAGAATCAGCTATCTTGTTCATATTTTTGAGTAATATGGGGTCAAACATTTACATTATTTTGCAATTATTTTTATGTACAAGCATTTTGGAACAGTTTTTATGACAACAAATATGTGTGTGCTTTGTGTGTCTTTTTATTTCTTTTATTTCTTTATAAGGACAAATGACTATTTGTCTCTAAGGTACTAAGGTTGATTTTAATTTTTTCACTAATGAAAATAATTTGGAATATCTATATTTAAATTCTTATATGGCCTGTTTTCAATTTTTTTTATGTTTTTATAGCTAGGATTTAGGGATCAAATGATATTTAAGTCTGAAGGTTTTTCATATTAAGTAATCATTTTCCCTCTTACAGGTTATAACAATTTACTCTCCCACTAACAAAAAATGAAAATGTCTCTTTTCTCACCTATCAAACTATATTATCCTGCTTTTTAATTTTTACCAAACTGACAGGTTGAAAAGTATGTACATTTCTTTGATTACTAATGCCACTGATTATTTTGCCTTAGCTAATTATTTATTTCATTATTTATGCATATTTTTCTTATTAATTCAAGAGGACTCCATGAATTAAAAAATAATTTAATTATTAACTCCATGAATTAAAAAATATTCTGTCATATATGTTGAAAATATTTATTCCCAATTTTTTCATTTTTCTTTAAATTTTTCCTATTTTTGGGGGAAGTTTTGAATGTTTTATGTTATCAAACTATTAATTTTCCTTTTTATAGTTTCTGCTCTGGCTGTTATATTTAGAAAGGTCTTTCTTTTGGTTTCCAAGTTTATTTTATTTATATTGCTACAAAATATTTCATTATTTTGCAGCAATATAGTTTATATTAAAATTTATATTGCTACAAAATATTGCTACAAAATATTTTGTTATTTTGCAGCAATATAGTTTATATTAAAATGTTTTTCTTTAAATATGTAAAGGATCTTGATTATGTTTGATGTAGGTGTGAAATAGGAATCCAGCTTTATTTTATCTGTCACAACTTGGTTGTTCAAAAGTCACTAATTGAGTAATCCATTCCTTCCCACCTTTTTGTATAATAAAAATTTCATTTTGTGTTTGTGCTATATATATTTTGTTTTATTGACCTATTTTGATGCAAATCATATAAAGTTTTTACTGCAGAAACTTTGTGATATATTCTAATTACAATTTTGGTAAGGTAAATCCAATATATTTTTCTTTTTCAAAATATTATTATTCTTTTTTATTTTAAAGGAGCTTTATAATTAATGATGTTTACAAACAAAGTCTTTAAGATAGTTTCATTGGACTTATCAAATTTGTAGATCAATTTTGGAGAAAAATGGCATCTTCAAAGTATTTCTTCTTCTAATTTAGAAAGAGGACACTAACCTGGGTATTCCAGATAGGCAATTATATCCTCAGTAAGAAATTATGTCTTTAGTTCCTATATTAAATGTTTTGTTTTTATCAAGCTTTATTAGCTATTACTTTAAAAATATTAATTAACAGTAGCAAAAATGACTCTTTTCTTGTTCCTGATTTTAATGAGAATTGCTTCAGCATAAAATGATCATTTATTTTAAATTGGTACATTTTAATAAGTTAAGAAATTGTACTTCTGTTTTTAAGTACTAATTGTTAAACAAATAAACAAATTGTATATACCAAAGAGAACATAGCATATTGGTAAGCATCCATGGAACATTGACCTTTATATTAGTAAATGAAATAACTGTAAATATTCTGAAATTCTGAGCATGTTAGAAAATAGATAAATGGGGAAAATTCACATTATCTGACCATAATGCAATAACTCTAGAAACTAATAAGAGATTTTAAAAAAGAAACAAAAAAGTGCTGATAAAACATTTAAATAAAGGTCTTGAAATTTTAAGAAAAGATTGGATTACATTGTACCAAATTCTACTTCAGCATCTACCCAGATTTTTCTTCTTTGATCTAGTAATGAATCATATCTGGAACAAATAAGACTTAGTTACTACGTTATTTTTAAAAGTAATACTGAATTAAGTCTGCTACTACTATTAATACAGTTATTTTACATAAGGGAGGTTAATTTTCTGTTTTCTGCTATTTTTGTCAGGTTTTGAAGTCTGTTTTTATTGGCTGTATTTAACAATGGGAAGAAAGTTAACTGTTGCCATGATAATGCTGTGTTCTCCATCACTCAATTAGCAGTTTAAGTAACACCATTTATTATTTATCATGAGTCTATGGTTGATGGGATGTTCTGCTGAACTGGATCAGGTTTGACTCACCTCAGCTGGGCTTGCTCATCATCTGTGGTCAACTGGCAAGTCACCTAAGATAGCTGATCTGGGATACCTTCAGCTGAGATAATTCATCCCTCTTTCAAATGTGTCTCTGACATCCTTCTTTCCAACAGGCTAGATCAGGCACACATCCTCACATGTCGTCAGGGGTCCAATAAAGTTAAACCATGCATGTGTCTTTTGAAACTTGTTTGCAATTTTTTCATTTTTTTTTTCATTTGAAAGTAATTTTTGTGAGTACATAGTAGGTGTATATATTTATGGGGTACATGAGATGTTTTCATCACAGGCATGCAATGTGAAATCAGCACATCATGGAGAATGGGATATCCTTTCCCTCAAGCATTTATCATTTGAGCTACAAACAATCCAATCACATTCTTAGTTATTTTAAAATATGCAATGAAATTATTATTGATTATATTCACCCTGTTGTGTTATCAAATAGTAGGTCTTATTCATTTTTTTCTGTAGCCATTAACCATCCCCATCTCTAGCCACCCGCTACTCTTCCCAGCCTCTGGTAACCATCCTTCTCTCTCTGTGACTATAAGTTCAATTGTTTTGATTTTTAGATCACAAATAAGTGAGAACATGTGATGTTTATCTTTCTGCGCCTGGCTCATTTCATTCAACATAATGATCTCTGGGCTTGGCTATGGTATTTGCTTAGCAAATGAAACAGTAGCTCCAACATCATGGATAGCGCTACTGTTTCATTTGCTAAGCGAATACCATAGCCAAGCCCAGAGTCAGTAATGGGAAGGCAGTAGGCATTACAAAAGGGCATAGATAAGGAAGGTGTAAAAAAAAAAAAAAAAAAAAAAAAAAAAAAAATGGGGTCAATAATACAATCAAGCCACCATTTGAAGCATCACTTCTTTTATATTCTCTGCAATCTCTTAAATAATATAGGAATTATCTGTTCCATATTACCTTTGCAAGTCTTCTTAAAGTCTTGACACGTAAATCTTCTTTAAAAATAGCTTTTAAAATTCATTAACAGAATTTCATTCCTAGACATTTCTTAATGAGACAACTTCTTTATAGCTGCGATAATATTTTATTTCTACAGTTGTTTATTTTCTACTCTTAACTGGTCTTATAAGAAACTTGTTCATTTTACCAATGTTTTAAAAGAATCCGTTCTTGGATTTATTTATATTAGTGTTATGTTCCTTTTTTTCTAATGTATTCATTTCTTCCTTTTGCCTTTTGCTTTTATGTATTCCATTCTCTATCTTGCGAAATAATGTATTCTAACCTTTCCAGCTTCTTGAATGGAATACTTAGTTCATTTATTTTAATTTTGTTGTGCTCAATAATGATATTTTTAATTACTTGAATATTTCATCTGAGATCAATTTGGCTTTACCCCATAGGTCTGATATGTAGTGTCAGTATTTCTATTTTCTAAATATGTGAGATATCCTTTTTAAATGAATTTATATGGTGAAAATCCTTATTTAAATATTTTATCAGTAGTTTTAAAAATATATATCTGTTATTAATTTCTAGTATTGCATTGTGGTCAGATAATGTGAACTTTCCTATTTATTTTGTAACATGCTCAGAATTTCAAAATATTTACATGTGTTTTGTTGCAAATATAAGGTCAATGTTTCATCAATATTTAAGAGCATGCTATATTCTCTTTGGGATATCCAATTTGTTTTATAATTTGTAATTCAATTATATTATTTATGATATTTTTCATATACTTAATTTTTCACCTGTTATCAGTTATAGATGATTAGTGCCATTTTAAATTTTTTTTACTCCACATGCAATTTTGTCTATATTTTTTCTGTACTTCTCTTTGTCTATATTTCTTTGTTTTTCTTTGTATTTCTAAGATTTTCACATTGTATATTTGTGCTGCTTTTTTTAGTGTACAAAGTTTTATCAAATGTACTTTTATAACATTTTGCATATTGAATAATTTTTCTCCAAATTCTATTTTATCTAATATAACCATTGCTATACTGGCTTCTTTTTTCTTTTTTCATTACAATAGGTAACACTTATTGACATCTATAGTGGGACATGCATAATTACTAAATTTTTTTACATGCAATAATTCATTTAGCCCTCAAGAGAACCTTATAAGGTATGATTATCATCCCATTTACTGAGGGTTACAGTTGAGTGAAGCAGAGGGAATTTATGTAAGTTGTTCAAAGTCACAAAACTAGTAAGCAACTGAGCTGAAATTTGAACCCAAGCTCTCTGTCTCCAAACTGAGGTTTTGGCAACTATAGTCTGTTGCTTCTTTATAAATATGCTGCTTGGTCTTGTAAGAAGTAAGCTATTTTTCTCTCTTGTTAAATTTGCTCAGTCTTTTCAGGGCTGTATGAAGTCTACAAATGAGCCCATCAAAGGCTCTTTTTAAATGTTACTGTGATTATTATTATTATTATTATTATTATTATTATTTGTAGGATTTCCATTTGATTCTATTAGAGCCTATCTCTCTGCTGAAATTTCCTATCTGGTCATGCATGTTGTCCACCTTTTTAATAGAGCCTTCACTGTATTAATCATGATTCTTTAAAATATCCTGTGTTTTGATTCCAGCATATGGATTATATCTGCATCTAGTTCAGTGATTAATTTATGTCCTAATAGTGGGTGTTATTTTCTTGCTTTTTTATGTGTCTTATAACATTTGAATGAAAGACAGACACTATGTAAGGACAGCAGAGACTGAGGTAAATAGTATTAATGTGTGGAAACAGGCATGCCTCTCCTGCTGCTAGTTTTTTTTTAGATTATATTTTATTTTAAGTTCCAGGAAACGTGCAGGATGTGCAGGTTGGTTACATAGGTAAACGTGTGCTATGCAGGTTTGCTGCACCTATCAACCCATCACCTAGGTATTAGGCCCCATATGCATTAGCTATTTATCCCGATGCTTTCCTTCCCCCTTCCCCCACCCCACAGGCCCCAGTGTGTGTTTTTATTGGAGATGGGCTGTTAAATCAATCCAGTCAACAGTCAATCTTGATTTACACTGCTGTTGCTTGTTACACTCAGTGCACCACAGGTTTCCAATCTTCTAGTGAAATCTTATGCTTAGGTTAGGTGTTGGGTCACTAAAGAGAATTTGTAACTTTTCTCGATACTAGATTTTCCTGTGAGCCTGTGCCTCAGTGAGTATATTTTTTATACCGTTGCTTCTCTCTCAATGGTAGAATGCCATTACTTGTTATTCACACCACTTACTAGTCTGCTTGTGGGTGTGTGGGGAGTTGTTGCCGGGGGACGGGTTGTGGACAGTTCTTAGGCTTAGGCAGGCAGTGTGTCCCTGGATTGGGGATCTGGCTTTCTTGGTGATCCTACTCATCCTCCTCATGGCAGTCAAACTTTGTCTTAAATGTTTGGCAGGTCTCATGCTTGGGGGAGATTTTACCCCTTTTGGAATGGTTGATTTTTTTCTTTTACCCTTTACACAGTTTCATTGAGTTTTCACCTGTTTCCTGAGAAACTATAGCAAAGCTATTAAGCTTTGCTTCCCCTTCCATAGTGCCTTAAAGCTTTTGTTCAATAAGCTATGTAGGGAAGAAAAATCTGGGCAAGGGTTTACCCCTTTCTCACAACAGAAATTGCTCCTCTTCTCAGGCCTGCACCACTGAGAGAAGTTTTCTCTGATCTTTCATTCTGCCTCCAGTCTTCGTTGTAAACACATGGTGAGGTCTGTGAAAGATAGCCTGCAAGTTGGGTGGAAATTGCCTTTGTGCCTGTGAATCCCAGTAGTTCTCTACTCTTATGAGTGTACTCTTACACCATATACTATCATGCAAGCTCTATACTCATGCAAGCTCATACTTGGATTAGGCAATTTATTTTAAAAATTAAAATTTCCTTACCTGCAGCGGGGCACGGTGGCTCACACCTGTGATCCCAGCACTTTGACAGGCTGAGGCAGGTTGATTGTTTGAGGCCAGGAGTTCGGGATCAGCCTGGCCAACATGGTGAAACCCTATCTCTACTAAAAATACAAAAATTATCTGGGCATGGTGGTGCATGTCTGTAATCTCAGGTACTCAGGAGGCTGAGGCAGAAGAATCACTTGATAGGAGATGAAGGTTGCAGTGAGCTGAAATTGCACCACTGCACTCCAGCCTGGACGACAGAGTGAGACCCTGTCTCAAACAAACAAACAAAAATTTCTTACCTACTTTCATCAGGACCTCAATCTCCTTTCATGCTCTACTCCAGCTGCATCAGTACACATGTGCCTCTTTGTCCTTGGAGGAGCCTGTCTTTCCTTACATTTCAGGCTATGAGATCTACCTGCAATCCCAGCCCTCGATGTGGTTAAGAGGAGTGATGATTTTGTCCATTACAGCTTCTTTTTTTCTTGTTGAGAAGGAATTAATGCTCTTTCCAGACATCTACATCCTAAGCAAAGACTGGAAATCTAATATATAAAAATCAAACTACCTCTGTTAATGATATATGTGTTTTTTTTCTAATTAATTCTTGTTTTGTTGTTACTGTTGTGTGAGTGCTTGCATGCTTATGTTCTCTTTCTTGCAATGTATGTATTTACCTTCTTTTGTGACATAGAACATATGAATTTTGTTTTTAATTTCTCTAGTGAATCTGTTTAAGTTGATTTAACATGTACTTAAATTAATATACCTTAATTATGAAAAACAATACTACAACAATCTGTTTTTCTTTGTGCATGAAAATTAAGGCACCCCTTTACTTCCTCTTCATATATTCTCTTCCAAAACTATCATAAGAGAAAATATTAGTTAATAGAAAATATATGTATATATAGTCATCCAAAATATTATTTTTAGGCCTAGCTTCATATATGTAATTGCTTCCAACTTCTCTTCCAATCATTTTATACTTTTATATTCTCTATTCTTCAGTTCTGTATTTTTATTCATCTCATAGTCATCTCAGTTAAATTCTCTTGCCAAAGAGTAAGAAAAATATATATATGTGTGTTGTATTCATTGTAGTTTGAGAATGTTTTCCTATTGCTTTTTCTCATGAATAACAATTTGGCATTCTTAGTTTTTTCTTTCTAAAAATCTGAAGACATATATACATTTTCAACTGACATCTGCTGCTAAGGAGAAAAATACTAAAGCTACGTTTTCATAAAAATCTGAAACTAGTGCTATTTTTATTTGTTTGTAGGTAATCTGTTTTTGTGCTTAGACACATGTGGAAAAATTTTTATAACTTTGGAATTAAAAAATAATCACAAGGTTAGGTCTAAAAATAGGCTTTTTTAAAAAAATCAATTTTGCCTGTGACTTAGTGAGCTCTTTTAATATATAAACTATCATACTTGGGTTAGAAAATTTTTCTTCCATTATTTCTTTGAGTATTGAATCTATTTTCATTGACCTATTATTTTTTTCTGAAAAATCTTATTTTGTTTTTAAATTATATTTAGAGACAAGAGTCTTGCTCTGTCACTCAGAGTAGAGTGCAGTGGTGTAATCATAGCTCACCGTAACGTTCAACTCCTGGGCTCAAGCAATCCTCCCACCTCAGCCTCTAAAATAACTGGGACTACCACCCAGTCAAATGCCACCACATTTGACTAATTTTTATAAATGTTTTGTAGAGATAGGGTTTTGATATGTTGCCCAAACTAGTCTTGAATTTGGGGCCTCGAGTGATCCTCCCACCTCAACCTCCCAAAGCCATGGGATTCCAGGTGTGAGCCACTGTACCTAACCCTCTTCTGGAAAATCTTAAGGCCTTAGATTGCATTCCTGTCTTTATAGGTCATATTTCTCATTATTCTCTTCTTTTTGACCTTTTCTTTGCAACTTGAGAGTTTTAAAAGTTCACTTATTGTGTAACTTATTCATTAGTCCTGATATATCATTTGCATTCTTTACTACTCCCAACTGTTATTTTTATTCTGCAGTAGAAGTTTGTCTTTATTCTTTTTTGTTTTCTTTTCTCATATTATCTCATCTTTTATATCATTACCTTCCTTTCAGCCTATTCTCTTTGTTGGTTCTCTACTGATGTTTCACCTAGATTTTCATTGTTTAAAGGCATTCATCAGATTATATTGCAACATTTTTATTGAATGCAGCCAGAATTTATGTGAGGTATGTACTACCTCTGAGACTTGAGGGTGATATTCTGATTTGTTTAGGGTGCAATGAGTTTTTGTGTTTGTTTATGTTTCTATAAACCATCCAGGCCCAATCTTTATTTTTGTCAATAGTTAAAGAAAGTGAAGCATCTTTTGCCTCCTCTACAATCCATTTAGTTAAGTTCAGTTTTTCTTTCTCAGACCTAGAGTTAAAGATCAAATAGATATGTTCAGCATTTAATCAAATTTACCATGCATAGTAGGTATTCCATGTATAGGTTTTTGACAGAGATTTACTAAAGTTATTTGGTCTAATTATGACAGAGCATTTATTCCAGACACTGTCTTGTTTATACTACTTATCACTCAGTGACTAAATCTTCCAAAACAAAAATTATTGTCATCTCACCCTCTCTACTTCCATAACCTTACGGTGGTTTCTGCTTTGAGTAGTAGTCTCTGGATATTTGTGAAAGAGTGTAACTGAGAAGGCAGCAGGTAGTGAATAAGAGAACAAAGTCTCTGGATACTAATAAAGATAGTTCTCATATAGTTCAGGATAGCTTGCTGCTTACTTGGCCATAAAGCTCTTACAGCCTAAAGTTAGGCATAATCAAAGGAAATATTGTTGCGGGAAGTCAGGGACCCCAAATGGAGGGACTGGCTGAAGCCATGGCAGAAGAACATGGATTGTGAAGATTTCATGGACATTTATTAGTTCCCCAAATTAATACTTTTATAATTTCTTATGCCTGTCTTTACTGCAATCTCTAAACATAAATTGTAAAGATTTCATGGACACTAACCACTTCCCCAATCAATACCCTTGTGATTTCCTATGCCTGTCTTTACTTTAATCTCTTAATCCTGTCAGCTGAGGAGGATGTATATTGCCTCAGGACCCTGTAATAATTGCATTAACTGCACAAACTGTACAGCATGTGTGTTTGAGCAATATGAAATGTGGGCACCTTAAAAAAAGAACAGGATAACAGCAATTGTTCAGGGAATAAGAGAGATAACCTTAAACTCTGACTGCCTGTGAGCCGGGTGGAACAGAGCCATATTTCTCTTCTTTGAAAAGCAAATGGGAGAAATAATGCTGAATTCTTTTTCTCAGCATGGAACATCCCTGAGAAAGAGAATGCGCACCTGGGGATAGGTCTCTAAACTGGCACCCCTGGGCATGGTCATCTCTTATGGTCGAGACTGCAGAGGTGAGATAGACTCCAGTCTCCTATAGCACTCCCAGGCTTATTAGGAAGAGGAAATTCCCGCCTAATAAATTTTGGTCACACTGGTTGATCTCTCAAAACCCTGTCTCCTGATAAGATGTTGTCAATGACAATGGTGCCTGAAACTTCATTAGCAATTTTAATTTCACCTGGGTCCTGTGGTCTTGTGATCTTGCCCTGCCTCCGCTTGCCTTGTGATAGTCTATTACCTTGTAAAGTACTTGATGTCTCTGACCCACACCTATTCACACACTCCCTCCCCTTTTGAAAATCCCTAATAAAAACTTACTGGTTTTTGTGGCTTGTGGGGCATCATAGAACCTACCGACATGTGATGTCTACCCCGGACGCCCGGCTTTAAAATTTCTCTCTTTTGTACTCTGTCCCTTTATTTCTCAAGCTGGCCGACGCTTAAGGAAAATAGAAAAGAACCTACATGAATATCGGGGCAATTCCCCGATAAAATATATTATATAGGGAGACTCAAAGCATATTTCTACCTTCCCTGTACTAATTTGAAAAAGAATATATATGGTTGATAAATATATATATATATTTAGAATAAGTATTAAGCCCCAATGTTATGCATACTCAAAGGAATTATACAACATAAAGAGAATCAAAGTATATTTCTACTTTCCTTGGACTAATTCGTCCTGTTCTGGTTGTAAGTATGGGATATGAAATACATAGATGAAATGTATGCTTTTGAATCTATCCCCAATCTCAATTTAGTTGTTTCAAATTATTTGAGAATTTCTCATTTATCTTTCTCTAACTTGAATTATGGAGCCTGTGGCTTTATTTTTTTTTTTTTAAGTTTTTTTTTTTTTGGTCAGTTGTTGAAATTTTTAAACAGATATTTGGAGGAGGTGTATCAGAGCCAGCTAGTTTTAAGTCTCAGACTGGTCACTCTTAAAATAATCCCACCCAGTCATGCCATCATCAAATTTAGTTGCCTCTCTCCTTGGCTTAAATTTAATACATTTTTTCCCCAATCTATTGGACTCTTTAGAAATGTTTTAAACAAAAATGACTAATTTATTTTTTAAATGTAATTAATTTTGTTGATTGAATAAGAATGTTTAAAAATGAAACATTATTGTGAAAATTACCACATCCTTGGTTTAAAATAGCCTGAGAAAGGAAAGCACAGCCATAAGAAATAAATATACGAATAGGTTAATACAGAGGAAATTGTGCCAGACAAAGCTGGTTGCTTTTTTGATAGCTTTACAGCCTTAGTAAATGAACAGAGTGGAGTAGACATAATGCATCTTGACTTCTAGCAAAGTACTGGAGACAATGTCGTGTGAAATTTTGATTGCAAAATTAATTTGAGTTGGCTTGAAAAACACTGTTAAAGGAAATATAAGCTGGTTGAAAAGACATACAGAGAAGAGTGTTGATTAATGTCAGTGAACTAATGAGTTGAGTGATATCTCCAGTTAAATGTCACGATTGTGAGTGTTGGATTGAATTATTTTTGTTATCTGTTGAAAAAATAAATAACATAGGGTTGATTAAATTAGAGCAGAAAATTTATCAGGAGACACCAGTGATTACAGAAAATCTATATAAAGACATGAATTCATTTCAGAGAAAAACCAGTGAAACAATATAATTTTACTTAAAGAGTCCATTTTTTTAATCACAAAATGGAATTCTATGAAGTATCAATGCTTAAAGACCTTCAAACTACAGAATTTCTCAAAACTAATTGGAAAACAAAATTAACTATCTCAGTAAGGCTAGAACATCATTTTAATCCAGTTAGTAGCTACATTTTATCCCAACCAATAAAGTGACAGTTAATTCTTACCTAGAGGATGTGGTTAAATGTATAATTATTATTTACCAGAAATAAAAAAAGTATCTAGAAAATCAGTAACCTCTAGAAACTCTTGGGCACAGGAGAGGGAGAAAACTATGGAAGGGGAAGTAATTATGTTCTTAACTATGTTACATTCTTAAGTTACATTCTTAACTATGGGGATATAGTAAGACTCTAAATAACTAAAGTTTTTTTTTATTATACTTTAAGTTTTAGGGTACATGTGCACAACATGCAGGTTTGTTACATATGTATACATGTGCTATGTTGGTGTACTGCACCCATTAACTCATCATTTACATTAGATATATGTCCTAATGCTATCTCTCCCCACTCCCACCTCTCCCCACAACAGGCCCCGGTGTGTGATGTTCCCCTTCCTGTGTCCATGTTATTTTTGAAATATCCAGATTAAATGTAGTTAAGTAAAACAATAAACTTTTTCAATGTAGGTTTTTTAATGCTAATGAAAAGCTAGTCAGCATGGGGTAAATTAGATTAAATTAGATTAGGTAAATTGGAATAAGAATCAAATGATCACAATCATAAAATGGGATTAGTCTTACTATAAGTCACACCTGCAAAAGGAAGAAGATAACCTGGAAAAATTTAAAGAGTCTTCCACTTTACGAAGTCGTAGTGAGTTGGCAAGTTTTAATAATTTAAAAGAAAACGTTGATTTCATCTAAAAAGAGAGAGAGAAAGTTTTAGTTATTGATTCAACATGTATTTATTGAATACCTTAAATGTGCACTATTTTTGGTTTTGTGAGCAGTCCCAAACGATTAAAACAGAGTGACTTGTTCCCTGACTATCTTAAATTATCGCAAACTGATTGGCTTAAAACAACGGAAATTTATTCTCTCACAGTTTTGGAGGCCAAAAGTTCACAAGCAAGGTATCAGCAGGGCTGCACTCCCCCTAAAGGCTTTGGGGGAGAATGATTTTGAGCGTTTCAGCTTCTGTTAGCTGTCAGCATTCTTTGATTTGTGGCAACATCACTCCAATCTCTGCCTCCATGGCCATGTTGCCTCCTCTTCTGTCTGACAAATCTCCCTCTACCATAGTCTTAAACAAACAGTTGTCATTGGGTTTAGTGCATATTCATGTAATCTAGAACACTCTCCCCTCTCAATACTTAACATAATTATATCTGCAAAGATCCTTTTTCCAAATAAAGCAACGTTTGTTTCCAAATTTTAGGATTTAATATCTCTGGGTGACCATGATTTAACCTACTACAAAAGCATTTTCTAACAAGCAGCTTAAAATAGGTTTCTTTTTTCTTTGAGACAGGGTCTTGCTCTGTTGTCAAGGCTGGAGTGCAGTGGACAGTCATGGCTCACTGCAGCATCACACTCCCAGTTTCAAGCGATCTTTCCACCTCAGCCTCCCAAGTAGTTTAGAGGACAGGTGCATGCCACCACACACAGCTAATATTTCATTTTTTTGTAGAGACAGGGTCTCTCTGTGTTGACCAGGCTGGTCTAAAACTCCTGAGATCTAGCAATCCTCCTGCCTTGGCCTCCCAAACTGCTGGGATTACAGGTATAAGCCACTGTGCCAGGCTCAAAATTAGGTTTCTATTGCTGCATTAATATATACACAGGGCCATCTCTTTCTCTTCTAATTATTTTACAAATATAAAGAGCATCTGTAACACAATGAAGCTGTTTTCCACTTTAGGAAAAGACAGTTTTGAAAATGTGATTAATTATTTGTTGCAGGTTAGGCTTCATACAGTCATATTCCCAGTGCACATTGTCCTCAAGATCTCCCCAGTTTGGCACTGAAGCCTTATTGACTCTGTCTCTGAAAGAGGCCTTAAATGATCCCCCTTCCTTCTAATCCTCACTGAAATTCCCTTAGGTTAAGCCCAATTTATCCAAGGGCTATGGTCTTCTACTTGATGTTCTGTTTTTAATCCTTGATGCTATCCTTCTCCTTCCATACAAACAGTAGATACACATATTTTCAAAACACAGACTTTCTTGTGTTCTCTACTTAAAAATCTGTCTAGCTTTCAGATACATAAAGGAAAAGCAACCTGGTTTTAAGAGCATGCAATGCTTCTTCTTAAATTTCCGATCCCTGTCCTTGTCTGCAGATTTATCACTTAACATTCCTCTCCTTGCTTCATAATACTACACACACAGACATACACACACACAAACACACACAAACACACACACACAAACACACACAAACACGCACACACAGGCACACACACACACGCACACACAAACACGCACACAGAGACACACACACACACGCACACACACACACACGCACACACAGTTCCTTGATATTGCAGTCACACAGAATTGTTCACTGTTTCTTGAAAATAATCATAAACTGCATTTGCTCATGTTATTTTTTGAGATCAGAGTGTTCTTCCCTCTTTTTTCTGCTTTAAGGTTTTCTCTTTTTTTGCACAGCTATTAAAACTTGGCCAACTATTATATTTTCTCTATAGTTTTCCCTGATCCTTACACATCTTCATAGCTCCTTACATGTAACTCTATTACTGTGTGCATCATATGCGATCGTGTTTATTTTCCCTGTGTGATTTGTTTTTTAGACTATGACCACCTTGAAGACAGAACTGGGTCTTATCTATCTTTACATCTCCTAGTTGTTTGCATGGTTCTTGACACATAGCAAATGCTCATAAACTTCTGATGAACTAAATTACTGTAAATTAAAGTCATTGATACATTTAAATGGCACGATTTACCTATATCTGTTTTATAATCATAGTTAACAAATTAAGCAAAATACTTCTAGGACCAGGAACTCAATATGGAGACACTCCATTGTAAGAGAGAAAGATGCATTGAATCGTTTATTCAGAAAGAACTTATTATGTCACTGTAGGCACTGCACAAAGGCTAAAAATCCCAAAATAGAATTGTTAAAAAATTAGGGTTTAAGATTAAAGGCAAAGGAAATCATATTTGTTGAGACTATTAGGGTTGCTTGAAGTAAACTAATGCCAAGTTTAAGTAAAAAGATTCCTGCTATATGATATAATTGTTAAGCCTAAGAGACCAGCAGGCACCAGGTACAGTTACATTCAGATGCTCAAGCAATGCCATTAGGGAACTGCCCATGTTTAGCCATTACTGTGTTCTGTTATTCCTTTTTTTTTTGTTTTGTTTTCCCTCTCAGGCAGATTCTACTCATGTGGTAACAAGACTATTATTCTAGATACTGTACTCATATTTAACAGTCTCAGGGAAAGAGTGAAGCCTTTTACTCAATCGTTCCAGAAAATATCTAATGGATGAAGGGAAGGCTCTAACTGGCCTTCGTTGGACCACTTACATTTCTTTGAACCAATTACTCTGGTCAGAAGATGAACATGTCTGATCTTTCAGGATTAGATTCACATGCAAAATAATGTTACAATTCAAACTAGGAAAAATAAATTATATATTTTTAAGAGACTGGATGAAAATACTCCATACATCACATGTGCTTTTCTTTTTCTGTATATTGGTATATACATAATCACTATTTCTTTTTTTTTTTTTTTTTTTTTTTGGAGATGGAGTCTTGCTGTGTTGCCCAGGCTGGAGCGCAGTGGCATGATCTTGGCTCACTGCAACTTCCGCCTCCAAGGTTCAAGTGATTCTTCTGCCTCAGCCTCCTGAGTAGCTGGGATTACAGGCACCCACCACCACACCCGGCTAATTTTTGTATTCTTAGTAGAGACGGGGTTTTACCATGTTGGCCAGGCTGGTCTCAAACTCTTGACCTCATGATCTGCCAGCCTCGGCCTCCCAAAGTGCTGGGATTACAGGCGTGAGCCACTGCCCCTGACCCACCACTATTTCTTTTGTAATTAAAAAGTACATATACACTTTATATTTTGATGTAGATGTAAGAATAGCCTCTGCTTCAAAGACCTCATTATAATAGTATTAAAGACACACAAGTAAACAAAGGTAACAATAAAATAGTAATACATATCAAATATTAAGTATCTCAGGAATAATTATTCCTTCTAAGGAATGGCAAAGAAATTTTTCACACCACAAAGTTAATTTTGAATTGGGTCTTCAAGGAACATAACAATTTGAAAAGACAGAGAGGACTTTCCAGGAAAATGTAACTACATATGCACAAATGACAGTAGGGATTATAGTAAGAACACTTTTATTATTATTCTACCTCTTCACTCTATTCAATTTCCCTGACTACTACAATGTCCCCATGTTGGTTTCTCCTTTCTTGTATTCCAAGATATTGTGTCCTGCTTTTGCTTATTATTCTCTACCCCTTAAGCTTCTCATTGCTTCCTCCTTCTTTTCTCTTTTTTCTGGGCCTCCCTCTTTGTTTTTACGATCCCTGGGAGGACTCATTTAATTGACTCCTAAATGGTTTCTGTGTCTCTAGTGTCTTGTAGACATTAGAGGCACAGAAACCATTTTTCACTGTCTATTTTCCACTCGGCATCCAAACTAATTTTCCATAAACATTGCTTCCATCATGGATATGTGCTTTAATAGCATTGGAATCAGACAGATCTTAAGCACAATACAATAGTATATATACCAGATACCAGTTATATGACTGTGAGAAGATAGTAACTTCTGAGAGTCTCACTACTAATGCCCAACTTGTAAGATAATTATGAAAATATGTACAACATATGTATCACTCTCAGCAGTGCTAGCCACTAGATAGATGTGCAATATATAAGTAGATAATACTTTTGTGGGTATCTATATTACTCCTTTGCCCATAACCAACAGTGAACCATCATGTTCCTTTTTAAGCTTGGTGGTGGATACAGGTGTTCACTTTAAAAGTCTCAGTCTCAGATTTCAAGTCTTCAACCCATCTCCTAAGCTGTCAGAGGCCTTTACAATCTTTACCTACCTCCTTTATTCAGTCTTATTTCCTATCATTTCCCCACAGGAACTATTTGCTGGCCCTTTAATTTCTCCCTTACCTCAGAACTTGCTAATATTTATCACTCTTAAATATATGTTTTTGCTTGTGCTGTTCCTCAAACTAGAATTTTTCTGCCATCTTTTGTTATCCTCTCTCTTCTTTTAGTTTAAATACCTTCTGTTCTCTAAGTTTTTTTTTTCCAGGACAACCTAGAAAAAAATATCTCTTTAGTTTCTACAGTGGCAGAAGGTAATGTGATTTACCAATTTAATTACTTCATATTACAATATAGTGACCATTTATATCAGTGTATAGTACAAATATGTATACTGTGGTCTTACTACTGATTATCTTATTCTTATTTATTGCCTCTCCAACAAGATGTTATCACCCATAGACAAGAATCATATTTTATATATCTTTATAACCCAAAGTGCCTTTTTAAAATTAATGTATCATGTTTGTTTTCCTGGAACAGGAACTGAAATAGAGAGTATGAATTCATTTGTAACTGAATCTTTGCTGTAATAGTTATCCCCAGCATCCTTGCTAATACAGAGAATGAAGCCTTAATACCTAAAGCAGCCACTGTATGTGATTAATTAACTTCTCTCCTATGCATCTTGACAGGTAGTGGCTATGTGCCATTCTTGGGAGAACTGGGAAAATGGTCACTGAAATCATTTTTGTTGTTTCTAGTTCCAATGAGAAATGCCAGCCGGGAAAGGCTGCTACAGTATGTAGCAAGGTGCTTTTGCTGAAATAATAAAAGTATTTGCAAGGAAATACTTGAAATAAGTGCTAAATTTCCAAAGATTGATCTACACTACAGAAGGCTTATTAGGGTATATTGATACTAGTATGTGTTGTCTTAAGTGGTACATTGTAGTTTCCATGCCAATTCTTGGTTTAAAACGCAGCATGCATCTGTTATATGCCACTTTCCACTTAAATGCCTAAGACAGGTAGATTGCACTGTCAAGTTAGGTCATTATAACTCCAACAGATGTTGTCATGTAGATGAAGAAAATTCATTTTAAATGATATCATTTATAAAATGTGTTTTTCTTTGTACCTAAAAAAGGCAATAATATGTCATATTAGCTCTTCAGATTCAGGTTGCAATCAGTATGGCATGTTTTGATTAAACACTTCACAATTTCAAAATCAGTGCAGGATAATGATGGAGCACATGTGAGGAAACAGCAATAGCAGGGGTGTTTACAGTATCCCAGTTGTTTCAAGCTTAATAACACTTCATGTTATCAATCAGTTACAAAGGAATAATTGGTGGATAGGCTGAGGAAATGGTACAGTAAGAAATTGTACTTATTCTAAACTATAGGGATGGAAGTGCAGCCAGGTCAATACTTATTTGGTTAGTATATTGTAACTAATCATTTGAGTTTTGCCAGCTGGTATCTTATTTTTGCTTATTTGTTTAACCGCTTTTAAATAAGTATATAATTTTAACAATTTAAGTCAGTTGAAATCCCCCCCATAGAGCTCTCCTCCAAATGCATCCCTAGCTACATTCTTCTTTCTGGAGATTAACCAGAAATTGGTGGTTTCATCCTGTTTATATGAATACATTCCTAGAAGATAAAATCATATTGTAGATATTTGTGACAAAATTTTCCTCACAACTATATGAAAGAGAACGAAGGAAGGTGTGTGGTTAGGAGTTAGCTGTCATTAAAAGTGTGTAAATTTTGCACGTTCCCTACATTTATTTTCCAGTAAATTTTACTAGTTTCTTTCTAATCAGTTGGGACTAAAGTCAATCGACCTGTCTCTGCTTCTTTCAATTTCATTTCCCAAAAGAATTTTAGTGCTTCTCTATTATTCTTAACTCTGCCTTGCCCCAATACATTAATCAATGCTTTGGGTAACAACATTAGATTTGTACAGGGAAGGACCAGGGAATGGCATTCCAAAGCAACACATGGAAAGGGCAAGAGCTGAATTTCATAAACCGTAACCTAATCCATCACTGCAGCTTTCCGTTGCCTCTACCCAGACTGCAGCCAAACATACTCTAAGCTGCCACTTTAGAGTATCTTTACCCTCCATGGGAGTTTTTCTTTTTTTCCCTTTTTTTTTTTTTTTTTGAGACAGAATCTCACTCTATCGCCCAGGCTGAAGTGCAGTACAGGATCTTGTCTCGCTGCAAGCTCTGCCTCCCGGGTTCAAGTGATTCTCCTGCCTCAGCCTCCCGAGTAGCTGGGATTACAGGCACTCACCACCACGCCCGGCTAATTTTTGTATTTTTAGTAGAGATGGGGTTTCACCATGTTGGCCAGGCTGGTCTTGAACTCCTGACCTCATAATCTGCCCACTTCATTTTCCCAAAGTGCTGGGATTACAGGTGTGAGCCACCGCGCCTGGCCAGGAGTTTTTCACTGTGATGTTGTGTAGGTCTCTGGAATGTATGTTTCCCTCTGCAGTTTCCCCAGTGTTGATTTTAAGGGAGGAAGCCAGAGCACTTGCTATTTCACCATCACACTTGTTTGAAGTGTGAGTTACCATGCAATGTTTAAAACATGAGTTACACCTTTTTGGAGGATGCTGTAGAATACCGATTTATTTTTTGTGTGAAAACAAACTCTACCTCAGGTTAATCAAATAATTACTGAAGAAAAGGTTTTTCTTTATTCAAATATTTCAGCACATGAATGAAGAAGAAATGGTAAAAGTAAAACATGAACATTTGGCCATCACTAATTATATTAGTTTGTAGAGGCTACTGTAACAAAATTCCACAGACCAAGTGGCTGAAACGACAAAAATTTGACTGGGAGTTCAAAAGCAAGGTGCCAGTGGATTGGGTTTTCCCTGAGGCCTCTCTCTTCAGCTTGCAGATGGCCAACTTTTCCCTGTGTCCTAACATGGTCTTCTTTGCACCCGATGGCTCTCTTTATGGTCTAATCTCCTCTTCCTGTAACTACAACAGTCTGATTAGTTTTGGGCCCACCCATATGATCTCACTTAACCATAATTATCTTCTTTAAAGACCCTATCTTCAAATGCATTGTGAGGTACTGGGGGTTAGGGCGTCAACACCTAAATTTGGGGAAACACAATTCAGCTCATTAAATGAATGGAAGTCATACCTGAAATCAATGACGGATCGTATGACTACAAAAAAAGGAGACAAACATTATACACCTGCTGTTTAAAGTATACAACACAAAATTATTGACAAATATTAAGCTGAATTAGGTCAATCTTCTAGATTTACCAATTTGCAAATAATGCAATCCACAGAGCAAGATGTGGATATGGGGGATTCAGACAGCACAATCTAGCTCGGGAAACTACAGAAAAAAAAAATGACCCATTTTGTGACATATAATTGAAGGAACAAATGAAGATAGATGAATGGAGAACCCATAAATAAAGCAATTCAAGATACACATGAACTCATAAAACATAGGTCCTAATTTGAGTAAAGAAAGAAAATTTTAATACTGACTGGTTATTTGATGACACTGAGAAACTATTCTAACTGTGCAGCTATGAAAAGGAATGAGATCATGTCCTTTTCAGGGACGTGGATGAAGCTGGAAGCCATTATCCTCAGCAAACTAACACAGAAACAGAAAACCAAATGCCACATGTTCTCACTTATAAGTGGGAGCTGAACAACGAGAACACATGGACACAGAAAGGGGAACAACACACACTGGGGCCTTCCCCGGGGTGGAGTGCAGAGAGGGAGAGCATTAGGAAAAATAACTAATGCATACTGGGCTTAATACCTGGGTGATGGGTTGATAAGTGCAGCAAAACACCTTTGCACACATTTACCTTTGTAACAAACCTGCACATCCTGCACATGTACCTGCACATGAACTAAAAATAAAAATAAATTATTCTAAATCTTGGGAAGTATGATAATGGTGTCATGATTATGTTTTAAAGGACTTCTTAACTTTTAGAGATATATACCAGAATAGAAATAATATTGTATAATGTCTGCCATTTGTTTCAAATCAAATCTGACCAAAGTAGGGGCAAGAAAGAGTAGGCGCATAAATAAATAACTCATTGATAATGAGTTGATAATTGTTTCAGTAGGATGATGAATATTTGAGTTTATAATTTTATTCTATTTATATATTTGAAAATTTTTATACTGAAAAGTTGAAAAAGCTTTATATTGGTATTTTAAACTTTGTAAATGTTCACTAAAAGAAGATATGTCTTTTTAGTTGTTTTGCCTGAGTTATGATGAGCTTTGATGAGTCAATCAGGCTGCCTCTTGAGTTTTCCTTGTAAGGTTAATTGGGTGCACTGGAGAGCTAGCTGAGGTTAGGAGAGCAGGCTCTGGTTGAAGGACAGGGTTTCGGCTTGGCAGACTAACTACCTTCTCTGATTATTAAACTTTGATGCCACCCACATTAGCACAGTATTCTAGTCACCTGTGATAACCTGTCCAGAAGTTGCTCTGATCGTGTTCAGCTCAATAAGTTTAGACTTCACACAATAGTGCTTGTCATTTTTTACCCTCTTGTACCAAATATATTTCAAAATATGTCCAATCCAGCTGTTAATTTGACTGAATAAAATATTATAATAACACTTCTGAGGATTGAGATGATGTTTGAAGTTTTTCAAGAGTCTTTTCCCTCTGGATTAGAGAACATCTCTGCCAGAATCAAAATGAGTCTCAAAATTGACAGTTTTTACTTTACTTGCTACAGTAACCTGGCATTTTAAAAAGCATTCTGGAAAAAAAAAATGAATCTTCTGATTGTGTAATAAAAGAATAAGAATAGAAACTAAGATAAAATGATTCTACATGTATATCTTGACTTATGTCTATATTTTATAATTTCAACTTTTACGTCAAAAAATTGTAAAATGTCACTAATTTTATAAGGTTTAATTTAACAGATCAAAGCTCATAGGACTTTGTTGAAAACAATGAATGCAAATCCTCAGTACAGTTCCAGGTGTGTCATGAGCCCTCCAAAAATGATAGTTACAATGACTGTTTCAAAAAATTTATACCTTCAACAAAACTTTAATCCTATTTTTATATGCCTGTCTGCTCTGAAAATAATTTAATATGTTTAAATTCCTAGAATAAATCTTACTTTAACCAAATTAATAATTCTTAAACTTAAATTTAGATTTCAATGAATCCCCAAAATGGTTTCCACATAAAGTAATGCAGCTAATATCAGCACTGCTAACAGATTACACAGAAAGGTCTATTATAATGATTGAGTAAATATTCCTGGGAAATCAACCTTGTTAAATCTATATCCTATAAGGAAAGGTGCATATCTGTTTTTTCTAGTAAAGATTCCGTAATTGTTATTACAAGTTAATCAGCTTCTCCCAGGTTCATTTACTCTGGATTTTATTAATTTATTACAGGAAATTATTGGGTAAGTAAACCACAATTATAATAAAATCTCATACATTTTATTATATGGTTCACAAACTTTATAAACACCTGTGATGGGATTCTGCTATTGATATTTAAGTGGATATTTATTAAGGAACTAGAGATACTTCTCAGTAAGATTAGCTTAGAGAACGGTCCTGTTTTTGATCTCTTAAGATTCCAAATTTTTATTCCAAATTTTCTGATATTGCCCAAGTGTCTTTTCTGAATCTATGTCTTTATTATTTGGCTTAAAACCTTTGTGCATCTGGTGCTCTATTCTGCTGTGACTTTGGAGAAAGGTTACAGTTTGTTTTTGCTGGGAGGAATAACTTCTTGAATGATGTCCCAACTGAAAATTATTTTTTTGGTTGGATAGAACATCCCTGTACAAAACTTCCTCTATTATCCCTTGGATAATTCCTGCTGTATATAGAGGTCCAAGATTGATTAATGATTTTATCTTCAGTAACCTGTGATCTAAATTACCATTGGCAAGACAAGAGTGATACCTGTTTTTTTATTCTCTACATTAATAAAACATGCCTTAAGAAATCTATATACTTCATATAGAGGATATGATTTGCCACTAAGCAAACTCTATGAAAAAGAATTGTGTTTTCATAGTAAGGCTTTATTATAAACCAAATATGACCAACTTTCAGCTAAACTGTATTATCTAATCAAGTTTATTCCGTCACTTTACTTGCTATTATCAATAAGACAAGTAATATATTTAAATATAGAATAAGTAACAAGCAACATGTTAACTGAATTAATATATTGGTAAAATATAGATTTTAAAAGTTTTTTGAAAATATTTGAGGAGGGTTGCACTTTTGCTCCCTCTGATTTTACTACGTATGTCTCTGACTGTATGTAATCACACCTAGCTTATGCTGTCCCTTCCATTCTCTACACTTGACTTTAGAAAGTCAAACGTAGACTGGAGCAAAAAGGGGAGAGATCTTTTCCTACCATTTAGCAGATTAAAAGGTAGATTGGAAATGCATCTCAGTATCTCAGCCATAAATGTCTAAGGGATAATAATCCCGCTACATATTTATTAAACTAATTACAACATATTGCGCAAAATAAAATACTTTGAATCAGAATGACTTATGAATGGTCGATTGCATACAAAAGTGCTGGAGATATGGTGATAAAAAGATGATTCAGCCATCACAAAGCTCAAAATTCTACTGGGAGAAACAGGTAAAGTGACTGAAGCCCAGGATAATATTTCAAATAATAAGTACAGTGAGATACTTATTTGAGAGATGCAAACTCAACAACAGTTTGGTAAGTACTTTCTCTATTCTAATTTGAATACATTCTAGTCAATTGAGATACACAAAGCATCAATTCTCCCCATTGGATTTGGATCCCATAAAACTACCCATTTCCCCAAATAGATAGTGTTTTAACTTAACAGACCTCATAAAAAGCTTGACACTAAAATGAGAATTTATAAATTGTGATCTGTAGTAAGTTAAATGGTGCCCAACCCTGCGAAAAACAAAAAGTATGTCCATGAACTAATCCCTGGAACATGTAAATGTGATCAAATAGGGAAAAGATATCTTTGCAGATATAATTGTAAAGAATTTCAAGATGAGATCGTTATGGAATATCTGAGTGGGCTCCAAATCTAATGGCAAGTATCTTTATTAGAGAAAGACATACGGGGATTTAAAACAGAAAAGGAAGAGGAGACAGCCATGTGAAAATGGAGACAGAGATTGAAGTTATGCAGCCACAGGTCAAAGAATGCTTGGAACCAAGAGAAGCTGGAAAAGACAATGAAAGATTTTCCCCTAGAGCCTTTGGATAGAGCCCTGCAAATACTTTGATTTCATATCTGTCCTCTGGAACTTGGAGAGAATAATTTTTTGATGTTTAAGCAGATGACTTTGGGGCAGTTTGTTATGGCAGCCATTGAAAGCAAGTCGTGATCTAGTTTGCCTTATTTTCCAAAGCATAGATAATTTTCAATTTCAATTAGGAAAATTGAAATTCCACAAAATGCAAGTGCATACAGAAATGTCTATCTGAGTTGCAGTTGGGAAACATTTTGCATTTAAAAAGGAAAAGTTTTAAGATATAAAAGAAAGTCTTGAGAAAACAAGAGAATATCCCTCATATATGTACAACTTCTTACTAATAGAAGCCTTAGATGTCTGATCAATTTCAGAGGCAAAGGCTACCATTGACTGTTCATTGACCATTGACAAGCCATGTGTTTCAATGATGAAATACCACATAACAAAATACTCTAAAGCATATTGTCTTAAAACAACTGTTTTATTACTAAGGTTCCTGCGGATCTGATATTCAGGCAGGATTCAGTGGGGATAGCTTACCTCTGTTCTACATGGCGCTCACTGGGATAGTTCAATTAGGGTAAGAGGATTGAAGATGGTATCATTTGCATGTCTGGGGCTTTGGTCCTGGCTGTTGGCTGAGGTGCTTTAGTTACCCTTTTCTCTCCACATAGCCTCTAATTACTCAATATTCTACCCCAGCCTTTAAAAAAAATTTTATTGTGGTAAAATACACATATAAAATATACCATCTTAAACATTTTAAGTGTACAGTTCAATGATAATAAGTACATTTATATTCCTTTGCATCCATCATCACCCATCTATTTTCAAAACTCCTTTCATCATGCAAAACTGAAACTCTATACTTAGTAAACAATGATTCCCCATTTCCCTCTCTGTCCAGCCCGTGGCAACTGCTATTCTTTCTGTTTCTATGATTTTGACCATTTCAAGAAACTTATGTTAAGTGGAATCATAAGGTATTTGTTATTTTGTGACTGATTCATTTCACTTAGCATAATGTCCTCAAGGTTCATCCATGTTGTAGTATTTCTATCCTTTGTAAGGCTGACTGATAAGGAGAGACTTACTTCTGTCATTTAAAAACTTGTTTTCTATATGGCTTATAGCATTTTTGTCCCTTGCTTCCTGCGTGACTGTCTTCTTTTGTGTTTAGTTGATTATTGTAATGAAATGTTTATGTATCTATGTCATTGACTTTTGTATATTTTCTATAGCTATTACATTTAACATCCTACAGTTATAACACTCTTATTTAGATTTATGCCAGTTTAACTCCAATAATACACAAAACTCTCTCTTTTACATTTCCATACCCACTTCTTTTGGTTGCTGATGTCCTAAAACTACACCTTTACACATTGCAGGTCCAAAAACAAAAACTAATAATTTTTAAATATATCAGTTTCTTGAATTAAACCATTGTTACAATAATAGTAGCTTTTATAATTGTCCATATACTTACCTTTACTGTGATATTTATTTCTTCATATATGACTTCAAATTATTGTATAGTGTATTTTTATTTCCATCTTCAGAACTCACATTAACGTTTCTTCCAGACAAGTCTAGTGTTAACAAACTCCTCTCAACTTTTGTATACCTAGAAATGCCTTAATGTCTCCCTTAGTTTGAAGGAAATTTTTGCCAGATATAGGATTCTTGCTTGACAGGTTTATTTTCTCTTAGCACTTTGTATATATTGGCCCATTTCTTTATGGTTTCCAAAATTTCTGATAAGATATATGCTTATAATTTTATCAAAAATCCCTTGTATGTGATTAATCACTTCTCTTTTGATGTTTTTGATATTCTCTTTTTTGTCTTCATCATTTCAAAGGTTGATAATGTGGATCTCTGAGCTCATTGTATTTAGAGTTTACTGAGCTTCTTAAATGTTTATATTCATATTCTTTGTTATATTTGGGAGTTTTGGCCATTATGGCTTCAAATATCCTCTCTTCTTTTCTCTGTCTTCTTATGGACTCCATAATGCATCTGTTTGTCCACTTGATGGTGTACCAATGGTTCCTTATTCTCTGTTCACTTTTCTTTAATCTTTTTTCTTTCTGTTCCTTGGATTGATAATTCCCATGGTCTTCTCTTTACATTTGCTGAGTCTTTCTTCTGGCTGCTTAAATCTACCTTTGAAAATCTCTGGCAAATTTTTTTCATTTCACTTGTACTTTTTAGCTACAAAATTTCTTTCTACTTTTAAGTTTTCTATCTCTTTATGGACGTTTATAATTTATTCATGTATTATTTCTTGATTTCCTCTACTTTTCTTTTAGTTCTTTGAGCATCTTTATTACAGTTGTTTTATTACAGTTGTCCAGTAGGTCCCCCATCATGTCTTTTTCAGTGACAGTTTCTGTTGGCTTATTTTATTTTATTTTTAAATGAGCCATTCTTTCCTGTTTCTTTGGATGCCTTATAATTTTTTTTTGTTGAAAATTAGACATGTGACTGTAGTAATGTAGTAACTCCGGCAATCAGATTGTACTTATTTCTCCTAGGTTTTCCTAGGAGAAATTTCCTAGGTTTTCCCCTTTTGTTCTAAATGTTGTAGACTAGACTGTCTCTGTGCAAAGGATCAATCTGAGATGTACGTAAATTTAAGGTCTTCTCAAGTCTCTTTTGAGCCTGCACCTTTCCCTGGGCATACACAGCAACTTTCTAATTTCCCGTGTGTATGTGGTTGCTTTTAAATGTCTTAGTATTTAATGTCTACCTCCAAAAAGAGGAAAAGAGAAAAATGAAGGTGGCAAGCAGGCACTGGCCATTTAAATCCCCTGGAAATTACTTCAGCCAGAGGGGTAGGGGTGTGCAACAATGGAGGGGAGGTGCAACAACAGTGACTACCTAGCCCTTCGTCTACAAGTCCGTGATTAGAAGCAGCAGTAAGCAATCAGAGCACAGATCTCCAATATTTGGATTATAACATTCCTTTTGCCCATGCTGGCTTTTGTGAACTGCATGTAAGTTGCTCCTGAAACATATTCATGGCTGCCTGCCATTGGACTAAGGGTCAGGATAGGTAGCTGCTACTGTTTTAAGAGCTTAAATTGATCAAAAGTAACCATAATTTTCCTTATAAGCTTTCCACTGGAAGTTTCAAGCCTTCAATAGACTCCAGAACTCCAGAATATTTATATCAGATAGATTCTGCCAGTGCAGTTGTTGCCTACATGGGGAGACAGATTTCTGGTGCTTTCTATTTTGCCAGCTTCCCAAAATCTTCCTTTCTAATCTTGTTTCTCTCCTTGAAAGCTGGGGAGAACCAGCTGTAATTCTAATTTTTGTTGTTAGTGGACTATGGCTGTGAGAAATGTCCTCTGGATGGGGATGCCACTACCCCCTACACAGCTCACATCTCACTCACAACTTTGGTTTTCCCCTGCTCTGGACCAGCCTTTTTTTATTTCTTTATTTCTTTTTCACTTGATTGGCTTCCAAAAATGAGAAGAGAAAACCTGTGAGATCTCTTAAGATTCATGCCACCAAATCATATGTCATCACTTCTGCCACATTTTACTGGAGAAAACTCACAGAGCAAACTCAGATTCAAGAAAAGGGGCTGTCTTAGACCTTTTGAGCTTCTATAATAAAATACCTTAGTTTGGGTAATTCATAAATAGTAGTAATTTATTTCTCAGAGTTCTAGAGGCTGAGAAGTCAAGGCATCAGCAGATTCAATACCTGGTGAAGGCTTGCTCTCTGCTTCGTAGACGGCACATCTTGCAGAAGGGGTGAACAGTATCCTCACATGGCCAAAGGGGAAGGCAACTTCCTTCAGTTCATTTTATAAGGGAGCTAATCCTATTCATGAGGGAAGAACCCTCGTGAATTAATCACCTTCTTAAATCTTTAATACAATTGAGTTCCAACATATGAATTTTGGAGCGCAACAATATTAGGGAAGTGGACTCCATCTCTTGAAAGAAGAATGGTATGTGTGCACAGGGATAGGAGGAATTATCTGTGGCCATCTTGCAGGCAGACTACCACACAGTGCTCTGCTTTTTCTTATCATTTTCTTTGATGACATCTGATCCTTTCTCACAAATATCTCCTTTGTAAAACACTCAGCACTTATTATTTATATCAGTCATTTGGGAATTAGTCATATGCTGCCTAGTGGAATTTGTTGTCATTAAAAATTTTTTCCTGTTTTGTCATTTCAAAAACAATCACAAACTCTTGGAGGTTAAAGATGATGTTCTATATTTCCTTGTACCCCGTAAAACCAGCATAGTAGGTATTTAATAAATAACTGTCTTCTTAATTATAAATTTTAAGTGGTGGGAGAATGATGTATTTACACTAATGCACGGTGGTTGTATTATTATCCACTAGATTGTTTCTTGCTGCATATCATGCACTGCATTATTTCTTGCTGCATATCAATCACTTAGTACTGACCTCCTTTTTAAAATACGCCTGACTTTCTCATGCTTATCTTACATATATGGTTATAGCTAAGAGTTGTGAATGGACACAGATATGGGAAGCATATTTAGGAGGATTAACAAAAGAGTAATTAGAAGAACACATAAATCCACAAGGAAAAAATGACTCTTTTTGAAGTATGCTAGCATTTTCAACATGCCTGTTGAGTTAATGATTTATGGGAGTTTCAATTGTTTAAATGTTTGGAATACTCTGCAATAAAATAAAAATTCTCTTCAAAGTTGATAAAAATACTCAGAGGCATACTTCCTCATCTGATGATTCATAGTTACCAATGAAACCCAAGAACTCCATGCACATTTTCAGCAAGAGCAAGGCATCTGATAGCAAGAGAGCTGGAAAGGAAGAATCATACAGTGACCTAGACAAGTGTCATGTCGGTCTTAGCATCAGATAAACTGATTGCAATGGTTGATTGTACTATCTCTAGCGAGAGTAATTTAGAAAACCTGAATAAGAAACCCTCTCTTGTTCATCATAGGGATGACTCTTGGTGTGAACCCAATCATATTAAACAATTGTAGAATCACCAAGCTAGACATTTTATGAGACTAACTGATTTATTCCTCATCTTGAAATAAAACCTGCATGCCACAAAACTCCTCTATGCTGCTGAGACTTAGTTCTTTCTTTGAGAAAAATAAGAGCCATTTATTCATGCAATAAATTTTCATTGTGTGTGAATTGTATACTAGGCCTGTTCCATGTGCTTGCCATACGTCAGTGAATAGAAGAGGCAAAGATCTTTGCCTATGGAACTTGCAGTCTAGTAGGGGACATAAGTTATTTCGTAAGCTTCCCCTTTATAAATATCATTAATCCTTACTAATAATAATACTTACATCAATGTTTATATATTTTACATTGGTTTTCTGATAATATAAAAAAAAATTCACAAAATAAACCCAACCACTAATAAGCTGTGAGTTTTGAGTGTAGAATTCTTTTCATTAACAAACCATTTCATTTTCAGATCGAGAAACTAAGGTTTTTAAAAAACTGATTTTACTGAAAATAAAATCTAACCACCCATCCTAATGTTCTTTACTTCTTTATCTGTCTTTCAAAAATATCTTCCTTTCTCTATGTTGAGTTAGATATGTATTCACAAAATCTACCATACTGTCCATATATGTTAGATATAAATTTTTGAGCTCATGTGAAAGAAACCAAGTTTGAATAGTTGAAGCAAAACAGAAGGGTTTATTATTAAAAAAAAAATGTGTTTTCTCAAGGACCCCAAAACACAAAGCTGAACTTGAGAAGTGAGCGCTCAAAACTATTAAGGCTGTCTGCATGACCCTTGCTCTAATTCCTCTCTGAAATAGTGTCTCATTGATTGAGGTAAAAAATGACAGCAGTTTCTAGAGCTACACTGCCTGTGTTCAAATCCTAGCTATGTCATTTGTTAGCTGAGTAGCCTGGAACAGGTAAATTAATCCCTCTAATTCTCAATTTCCACATCTGTTAAAATTAGCATAATTATAATCATATCAGGATAATTCTGACAGGATTATAGCAAAAAAAGATTAAATAATATCTAATGACTGGCACAATACCTGCCTCATAAATATAAGTCTTCAGTAAATATAAACCACCATTATTAAATAGGAGATGTTAAGAATTGAGCTGAGCTGGGGAGGGCTGAGCTGCCAGATGTGGGAGTATTCAGTAAGACAACAAGCCAAAATGAAAGTAACGATTAAGCTTTTATTCCACTTACTGTGATAGTATAATCAAGAGTCCAGAAAGAAAGTGCCAGCTTCACCTGTGTTTCATTTTCCCTACAAATGGCACCACGCAAGGGTCAGATGCATTAGTACAGTTTTGGATAACTGTCTTACTGCTCAGGGAACCCCAAACAAAAAGTTCCTATGGTTTTATGGACCTAAGGGCAGGAGAAGAAGCAAGGGGAAGATCTAGGAATGGGAAAGTACCAAGTACTAAGTCAGAATGGAGAAAAGTGTCCTCCAGGGTACCCACTCCTCCCAACAAGCAGGTCTTGGCAGAGGCTCCTGGAAAGGTTCATCTCAGAGTCCCCAGTAAAGAAGCCTCTGAATGGAGGCTCCTGGGCTAAGAATGCAAATATGTATAAAACATGGCTGGCCAGGGGTCCTAAGTCCTTGACTGCAACTCCCGTCAGACACTGCAGCACATTGTCTGTGCAAGTCAGTTTGGGGAGGGAAGCTTTCCTCTGTGAAGGCCTCCCAGGCAAAGCCTTTGTATTGCCTAGGGCAGGGCAAAATCATACAGAGGTTTTTGACTTGGAGCTGGATTCCTTGAGAGGATTTCTAGGAGAAATCCTCCCAAAAGTTTCAACAGTTTATATTTCATTTGTATGTTGGTGGTTCTCTTTCAAGTGAGATATAATATAGATGAAAAGTATCTAACATAGATTAGGTATTACTCTTATTATTACTATAGCTATGGTTGCTTGTATATAACTGTTCAGATTATAGCTCCAATAAAACAACTTATTTTATTCTCTCCAGAGTTAGGTAATATCATTATTCCTCATACTGAAGGCTTTTGAAAAATGTTCCTTGGTCTTTACTATACAGAGTTTAACCTTTCTGCTCTCAGGAAGAAAGACAGTTGGAAATTCACCATCTAAATTTAAAAGGGGGAAAAATCTCAGCTGATAGCTGGTAACACAGTGTTGGCTATGTATTGAGATACTTACTTAAAGCATCATATAAGAAATGATGTACAGGCCAGGCGCGGTGGCTGATGCTTGTAATCCCAGCACTTTGGGAGGCCAAGGTGGGTGGATCACCTGAGGTCAGGAGTTTGAGACCAGCCTGGCCAACACAGTGGAACCCCATCTCTACTAAAAATACAAAAATTAGCCAGGTATGGTGGTGTGTGCCTGTAATCCCAACTACTCGGCAGGCTGAGGCAAGAGAATCGCTTGAACCTGGGAGGCCGAGGCCGAAGTGAGCCGAGATAATGCCACTGCACTCCAGTCTGGGCAACAGAGCAAGACTCTGTCTCAAAAAAAAAAAAAAAAAGAAAGAAATGATGTACAATCACTTTAATGTGTATTAAGGTTCTTGTTTAAAAATCATCTAAATTTGTTTAGTATCCAATAAAAATTGAAGTCTCACTTTGTGCCAATAATTATGTATTTAATAAATGGGAAGAGGAAACAAAACAGTAATTTTTCTTGAACACGTGGAAATTTATAGATAATTGCTGCAATAAATATTATCATACAAAATATATATTTAAAAAACTTAACTACAATATTACTGTAAAAGAGAGGAACATGATTCTATATTACAGTGATATGAGGTAGCCTGGGGTGGGGGCAGGAGATCAAGGAGAGTTTACCCCAAACTACAGGTGTTTATATTGAGATCTAAAGGATGAGGAAAAATTACTTTACTAATTCATTAAAGAATTGCAGGTGTCTTAAGATTGTTCCAGTCAAGGAAAACTGTATATTCAAAACCACTGATTCTCACATTTGGCTCTACTTTGGAATCATCTTCATAACTTTACACAATACTGATGCCTAGATTTCATGCCCAGATTCTGATTTCATTGGCATGGGGTGTGGCTTTGGTGTCGGGATCTTTTTTTATAACTCCCCTAGCGGTTCTGATAAGCTTTAGTCAGTGCTTTAGAAACAATGTTTAAATTTTCAAGGTAGGAGGGTTATGCCTTACTCAAGAAACCGTAGGAAGACTCATATGATTTGAATTCAAAGAATGAGAGGGAAGGCATTATGACATGAATTGATGAATATAAATAATAACAAATCATGCAAATTCTGGTAGGCCACATCCAAAGTTTGGCCTTTATCTTGAGAATACTGGAAAACTATGGAAAGACTTTAAGCAGATGTTATAATCTCAGAATTTATGTTTGCAAAGAAAGACTGTAAAGAGAAGCTATGAAATTAGCTTCGGCTAGGATGGTAGGAAGGAACGAGTTAAATAGATTCAGGAGACATTTTTAAAGAGGTGAAATTGGCAGAGCTGGGCAAAGGATTGGATCTGAGAGGTGGTGAGACTGACAGCTTGATTTTTGGCTAGTGGGACTGAGCTGATAGTAGGGATAGATAGTGAGCTTAATCTTAGAGATATCTGAGCTCCCTTTGAGGTATCTAAGCAGAGACAGTGAAGTGATAGTGAAATATAAGGAGATTGCTGAGCTTGAGATTTTTATTGTTTAGGAGTAAAGATCTAAATTGCAATAGAGATGCTTTACACTAACCTTGTCAGTTTCATAAAAATTACTTTACTGGTACAAAACATGGTAAAAGGCACTGTAATAGACAGAAAAATGATTCAGATGGTACCCATGACCTTAAGTGGTTAATTATTTAATGGAGGAGATAGGAAAGACAGTGAGAATTTAATGTGATTTTAAAATGAACATCTTAAAATGTCTCAAGGTAGAATGGAATAGAAGAGAAGAAAATCCAGCAACTTTTATCAGGTTGTAATAATTAAATGCTAAAATATTATTAGAAAAAATAATAATATTGTGATCTGATAGAAAAGGAAAGCTAATAGAATTTGAGGGAGGGGAATGACCCCGAAGAATCATGAAAACTCTCAGGGATACAACATCATATTAGGACACGGTGTCTAGTTGGAAACATTTTGGTTTTTCATTCAGCTTGAACTGGAGAACCAAAAAGAAAGAAGAATAAAGAGGACAGCAGGAGTTTTAAATCATGGATTTGTTTATTCAAATCTGCCATGTACCAATACAACAATACTATGATAAGAGCTAGGAGTACAACTGTGGACAAGGTAGTCATCATTCTGGCACATAGTTTATAGGTTCATATCATATTTATTATAAAAAATAGTTTACTTGAGACAATATCCCTAGTTAGCTTTCACAAAGGAAACCAGTCAAAATAATGACTTTATTAAAAGAGGTTAAGTAGCCATTCTATGAGTTTGCATTCCCTGTGTGTTGAAGCAAGTTTTTTTTTTTCTTTTTTTTTTCTTTTTTTGAGACAGTCTTGCTCTGTTGCCTAGGCTGGAGTGCAGTGGCACCCTCGGCTCACGGCAACCTCCATCTCCCAGGTTCAAGCAATTCTCCCGCCTCAGCCCCCCAAGTAGCTGGGATTACAGGCATGTGCCACCACACCTGGCTGATTTTTGTATTTTTAGTAGAGACGGGGTTTCACCATGTTGGCCAGGCTGGTCTTGAACTCCTGACCTTAGGTGATCTACCCGCCTTGGCCTCCCAAAGTGTTGGGACTACAGGCGTGAGCCACCGCACCCAGCCTGAAGCAAGTTTTAGGGCAGTGGTTTTCAACCTTGGCTATACATTGGAATTACCTGGAAAGGCTTTTAAACTACTGATGCCTTGGTTATACTCCTGGGGATTCTGACTTAATTGTCCTGGGGTTTGGATGGAGCATCAGAATTTTTTAAAGCTTTCCATTCTAATAGTCAACAAAATATTCTAATAGTCAACAAAAGTTGAAAGCCACAGTTTTAAGGGCATGTTTTATCACTCAGACTACTAAGTCACCCGAAAAATGAGACTGAGCAAGGAACAAAAGAATTCTGATTATATAGGAAAAATAATAACAAACATTTCTTTAGTCTCAGTGTGTCATGAACACTTCTAAACACTTAACATATTTTAAATCAGTTAGTGGTCCCAAAAACTGTATGAGGAAGTCACTTTTACTATTCGCATTTGAGAGATGAGAAAACTGAAACCCAACAGCACACGCAAAGTAAGTGTTAGAACAGGTACTTGAACTCAATCAGTCTTCTTCTAGAGCTTCTTATCTGAACTGGTATGCTATATTGCCTCTAAATGTAGTGTAATGGTAATTTTATACCAGAAGAATTATAAAAGAAAGGAAAACCTATAAAAATAGGATATCATTAAATCAGTTAAATGCTAGTTGATAATAGAGTGATTATTATGACTGCATAAAACATCTATGGGTTATACATATGTGTATATAGACATATATATGTATATATTTATTCAAATATGTCTATATATAGATATATGTATACATATTTGTATATATATGTGTGTGTATATATATGCTGGTTCTCATGTTTTCTTCATTTGTAGGAATCAGTTAACAAGTTCTTGTTACATAGTATGAAGGTTCTGTTTTCAGTAGTGAAACAGGGAGATAAAAGTGGTTGAACCATGTGATTTTTTTTCTGACTTTTCAAAGACATTTTCTCCTGAAGGAAGCTCAAGTGCTAAGGCTATTCCACATAATCTCAAGAACGACTACTACTTTATAGTAATGACCAAACTGTAGTAATAGAATCTTAGGAGCATATAATCATCCTCTAGGGAACACATTTTACAAATTGAACCTATCTTGCAGGTGGAAATACCATAAAGAAAATTATCATTGGAGAGATTACTGGCACACTGCATTCATTCACATGTCAAAGTGGAAAACATTCCAATTTACTTCTATAAAACATGTATCTGAGTCAACCTGCCATATGTATTTTTTACACTTTCTATCCCCTTACAGAATATCTACCAAATAAATGCTGCACATTTCTAAGTGGCTGGCTTTTAAGCTGCTTTGCCTATGGCTTTTTGTTCCCTCTTTTTCTCAGCTGAGAAATCAAGTAAACAAAACATTGTGGCTGGTAGCATAGGTCCTCAGTGCAGTGGATATTTTGTGTCCGGCAGCTGGAGCATTGGTCGTACAGATGGGCTTCATTTGTTCCATATGAATACAAGTTAATAAATGGAGAGAATTCCATTTGGTATTCAATTAAGATCTCCCCTGACTCCTGTTATTAAAGCCTACAAACTATTGAGCATAAAATTAAAATCGAGCAGTTCAGCTCTTTTTGACATTATAACACTGCCTGAAAAATAATGTAAAACCCAAGAGTCACAAGTCATTCCTTACAGCCCATGGCAAATAAGAAGTGGAAACATTGAGGAAGAAAGAGTAAATATTTAAAACTTGATCATTAGTACACATGTTAGGAGCAGGCTACTGTGCTCATGCAAATACATCAATCCAGTTTGTTGAACACAAGATATTACATTAATTTTAACAGAATGTTACAAGATTATTATTGCCAAAGCTCCAATGAAGGAAATAATTAAAGCACTAGGCATTTTAAGGTCTTAAAATGACAGAAAATACTATAGGAAATCAATAACCAGAAAATACTATAGAAAATCAATATACTGTAATTGAAAGGAAATTGAATTGGGTTTACTTTTTTTATCCCGTCTAAATTTTCTTCAGATTGCCAGACCACTGAAGATAGTGAATCTTGTTTTGCCATCAGCAGTGTGACTTTCTCTAAGTCTCATGTGCTGCAAGGGCCATCTTTATTGTTTTTTATTTAGGAAGCACTCAGCTGAATAGACAGTATGAGATTTTGTGTGTGTGTTCTCTTTACTAGTCTTGGACTCATTGTTAAAAAAAACAGAAACAAAATCAAAGACACAGCAGACAAAAACAACCACCTCCACATAACCAGAGAAGTCAAATTAATGAGAATTCAGACATCGAAACCAGAGGACTTGTTAGATAAGCCTCACACTTGAACCTAAGTGAAATTCTTCTAGTTTTTATCAAACACTATGCCTGTCATTCTTGCTATGCAATAAGAAACATTACCAGTTGCAGATACAAATTCAATTTGAATCTATATGAATCTAACTCATTTTCATTGCTTATTATTTTAAAAAGTTATTATAATCAAACAAAAAAGCTTGAAATGAACCTCAGGGAGGTAAGTGGATATGAACAGAAATTAAAGAATGTTAAAATGAGAAATCCAGACTGGGTGCTGTGGCTTAAACCTATAATCCCAGCATTTTGGGAGGCTGAGGTGGGAGAATCCCTTGAGCCCAGGAGTATAAAACAAAACACTTAACAATTCTGAGTCTCAATGTCGTTGACTATAAAGTAGAAATATCTTCCCTTCCTACCTTAAATAGATCACATTTATGAAAAAGATTCATAAGTTATAAAACAACACCTCAATGAAAAATGCTGTATCTGGACTTTAAAAAGAAGTGAATTAAATACTAATTTTACCTCTTAGTATATATGTGATCTTAATGAAGTCCTTAGTTTTCTTGTCTGTTAAATAATAATGGTAAGGGCACCTTCTCATATGGTCATTGTGAAGCTTACATGTATAAAAAGCTCAGTACCATGGCTGACACATAGAAAGTATTTAACAGTGTTCAAAAACATAATCAATATAGGAAATAAGTATTATTTTATTTCCTTAATAATTTCTTAGTTATACCCCATTATCATATGTGATAAGAGAATGTACTTTATTTCTAGTTTTCCAGATAATCTGTATCCTAAACATTCTTTACTCCCAAATTCAGTCTTTGAGCATCCTAACTCTTGACATCCACAGCTAATATTTAGGAAACATTAAAATTTGTTTGTACATTTGAAGGAAGAACTAAGTAAATGGAACTTACCAATCCTAAAATCCAGACTGCTGTTATTAAGAAGAAGAACAACTGTACAAATGCTGTTATCAAAGGATGTATGAGTCAGGCGGAAAAAAAAGGAGAACACAGAAAGGTGAAAAGTCTTTGTCAAGCAGAGGAGAGAAATTATTGTCTTGTAATATATATGAGAGAGTCTAGCCAAATATTAAACATTTTTAAAATGAAAAGAAATATTATACATGGTATGAATAATATTTAAGTCATTGCCTAGGTTAGAAGATTAGATATATTTACCTATTCTACCTACTTCAAATGCTTTTTTGCTGTCATTGTTTGGAACCTCCAAATACTAGAATGCTTTAGAATTATAAAACCATTGACCATGTTCAGTTATGTTTAAAAGAAAACATCATTCTGAGGAAACTGGAAATTATATATTTATAAATGTTTGTCCATAGCATTGTTGAAACAAATGGCTCAGGTTTCACTGTTAATCCAGTTGCTGATATTTTTGACTACTCAATACACCAAAATGGTACAGTCAAGTTGGTGCTAATAGATGTCATTTATTTACACAAACTGACAATAGGTTCACCAAAGTTAAGAGACGAATTTAAGGGGGACAGAAAAGAAATTCCTGTGTGTGCTTTGGCAGCTTAGACATACTTACCACGAACAAGATTATATCTTAAAAGCTATTCGTTAAGCTTAAAATTAAGTTATATGGTTGTAATATGTGGAGAAAGCACATTGGAATAGCTCTTCACTTAATGTTATAGATCACTTTTTCCACCAATATTATTTGGTCTAGGAAAGTAAAATCCTCTTGAGGAAGTAATTAGAAAAAGCACACATCAGGGAATGTAATTGAAGATAGACTTTTGTTGACCTCAGAAGAGAAAAGCTCAAAAGAAATTTCGTAAAGTTTTAAATATGGCAAGAGGACCACAATGTCTTTGATAATTAGACTTTCAACACATTTGGATTTGCTAATTGGATCTAAGTTCTAATTAGGCTTTTTATGTAACTAAGAATGACATATCATTGTATGAATTTAATGTGCTTTTACAGTTGAAACTAACAATTAGCAGCCTTTTCCAAATTATTTTAATAAGGAAAAAGCTGGCTCTGCTGTTTATACTGTGACATTCCCTTCTCTTAAGATATATTATGTACATTTTCATTTTCTTAATTAAACACCTTTTGGGGAGCTTAAAGGGAAACTTGGGTTTTAATAGGAAGCACCTAAATTGTTTATTTGTGGGGGAGACTTGCCAGCCAGTATGTAGATGACTTTGGAAGCTACAGACAAACCGCAATAAAAAGAAATAAATCACAATCATCAGGAGGAAACAGCACAAATAACCATTTGCCCCTATGACCATTCAGTTAATCAAAACAGTCTCTGAATATGATGAAAGATCTGTTACATTTTTAAGTGTGCACATGCGGAATATGTTCCCAAATGTGAAGGCTCATGGATCTGCTTTCAGGATGAATAATAGGAAATTTCTTCTCAAGATGTGCATTACAACATTCTCTCTCTCTGTAGCCTTGTTCTGTAAACAGTTATCTGCTAATTCAAGTCAAATCATCTCTTTCTTTCTCCATATTTTTGATTGAGAGTCATCAATTTTTATCCCATTCAGATATATAGACAGTAATTTAAAAACTGGTAGCCCTCAGATTTGTACATTCCAAGAGATAAGACCTATATAACAGCATAAAATTAAACTACTATTTGGGTGAGTAAAGAGCAGTGAGTCATTGCAAGACTTTAAGGGAAAGGCTGCTGCCAAAATATTCCAAGCAAATTGATAACACTGCCAAAAAGGCAAATTATATTGTTTTATGTGCTATGAATACTTTGAAAACAAAGACATACACATGATTTTTTTCAAATAAAAGCAGTTGCCCTTCTAACCATATTAAAAATAGTGTCTTTTTTCCCAGTAAAAGCCATATAAGATCAAATTAAAACCATTGAAACTATTAGAGAATCTAACTTACAGTAATTGATATATTAAAAAAGACATTATGTTAGAGTTATATGTGCTATTATTTTTCCAATTAGTACATTACTGGGACTGAGTGATTGGTGTATACATAAGTCCTCATTAAGTAAAATGTCCTCAATGAGCCTCCTAAAGCACATTGGGTACTGTCATGTGCCATATAATGATATTTAAGAGCAAGAAATGGCATATCTAATAACTTCATTTCCTATTTAAAAAGAAAACCTGTGCAGTACTCTTTCCATACCAATTATTCTAAGAGCTATCACATAGTTCTCCATAAAGACTATACAGAGGTGATGGGACTGTTCTTCAGGCAGAAAAATGACCAAAGTTGTCTTATCTTTCAGCTTGGTTGCTGGAATCCTGTCACAGGTCTGAATGGGTCACTGACTGACAAGAAATTGGAGAATAACATGCGTGGAGTGGTTCTACGTGTAGTAACTGTTCTGGTAAGTATTATCTGAGCCTCGTGGTTTTGACTTTTGGAGGTTACTTTATCCTATATTTCTTTCTTTATTAACTGATGACATAATCTTAAAAGAGATTTTAACAAATTCTAAATACGCTTTCTAAGATTTTTTAATGGTCATATTTCACAGCCTTCAATTTACGTGGATCAGGATCACAGTTTTGCAGACTTTTAACTACAGTGTATGTGTTAGGAATTTTCTTAGAAATTTTAGGCTCAATTTCCATCCTACAGTTTTCTACACATGACAAAGTAAAGGTATGTCTCAGGCCTTCTTTCATTAAAACTGTAGTGAACATAGATAGTCAACATATAGTGAACATTGAAACTATAAATGAACATAACCCTGACCATGCCAAACAATGGTAGATTTGGTAAAATGTACATTCTCTAATAGTGAAATATTAACAAACTAAGAATCTTTTTCTCGTAAGAACCTACTTCAAAGGGAAGCTGTTGTTTAATAGGCATCTACTGTCGACTGTATTCCAGGCTCAGTGCTGATTACTGAGAACATTGACAAATAAAATGACAGATATAATTCTGTCTTGATAGAACTTATCATCTAGTGATTCTGTGAATGTTGAATAGGATTACAGTAGTTTCCCTTTATCTGTGGGGGATGCATTCCAAGACCCCCAGTGGATGCCTGAAACTGTGGATAGTTTTGTTTTCTTCCAACACAATCACATTGTGTAGGGCTTATAGGTTATAGAGTGTGGATATGCTGGACAAAGGGATGAGTCACATCCAGGGCATGTCAGTGGGATGGTGTGAGATTTCATCATGCTACTTAGAACAATGTTAAATTCAAAACTTATAAATTGTTTATTTCTGGAAGTTTTCATTTAATATTTTTTGGACCATGGCTGATTGAGGAGTAACCGAAACTGGTGAAAGAGCAACCATGGATAAGAAGAGTCTACTGTATACCTGGGAAAGATCTGTTACAATTTCATTTACTTATTAAAAAGTCAATAAATGGTAACTGTTATAATTCTATACATTATAGTTTTCTTTCCTAATAGATACATACAATAAGATGTTAATAGAAATATTCTTAAACAGTAAAATACTCAAATGGGCTCTGTCTAAATAGCCATAAACCACGAAGGCATACATTCTCCTTTGCTATTCCAATGTGTTTAATCATGTGCTAGTTTATAGCCTGTTTCAAAACGTAATAGTCCATAGTTAGTACTTTATTTTTCTTCAGAAAAGTCTACTTGTTTTTAATTTTGAAAAAGATTTTCCTATGGGCTAGGTAAATTGCAGAATTAGTAAATAGGAGAGGAAGACTTTTTGATACGTTGATGCTAATTGGATGTTCATCAAATTTTATAACACCAGTTGCTGCCCTTTGTACATTGTTTACTACAAATTAAATATATGCAATGTAATTTTATTGTCAAAAAAGTGGATTTGTGCATATTTTCTATGAAAGGACATTCAAGTGAGTGACCTATTCTTCTTTTTTTGTGGCCCATAAATTATTCCTAGTTATTATTTTTAAAAGGGCTTAATTGCTTTTGGTAAATAATTGTAAGTATTTCACAACTTAAATGTGAATTCGCTTCTGTATGTACCTAAGGGTATTGATATGCATTTACATTGATGCACTAATATTAAAAAAGACAGATATTTAAAGTACAGCAAATTATTAATAGTCTTTCCTCCAGTGATTAGCATGAAAACTCCAGTGATGATTGCAGTGAAAGACGGTATATGTGCTTTGTTTTCCTTTGAGAAAAGAAAGCAAATCTTTAAGTCCAATTAACCTCAGTCAGTTTTAAGCAAATAGTTATTTCGCAATTACTATATGATAGACTCAGTAATGGATATAAGAGAAATAATATACAGACCTTGTCCTCAAAGTATTCATAGAATCTTGTTAGGTTGATGCACATAGAGAAAAACAGCTCAGATTGATTAAATATGGTTGACCCTTGGTGTCTGTGAGGCATTGGTTCCAGGAAACCCCCACACCAAAATCTGCAAATTCTTAAGTTTCTGATATAAAATGATATAGTATTTGCATATAACCTATGTACCTCCTCTCATATGCTTTAAAGCATTTTAGATTACTCTTAATACCTAATACAGTGTAAATGCTATGTAAGTAGTGGCTCTACCGAATTATATATTTATTTTTGTTATTTTTATTGGGTTTTTTTCCTAATATTTTTGAGCCTCAGTTTGTTGAATCTATGGAGTTGAGTCTAGATGCAGAACCTGTGGATATGGAGTGTTAACTGTACTTACTATGTGCAAGCTACTCTACTAAGTCTTTTGCATGTATTGTCTTATTTTGTCCTCACAATATTCTCAAGAAATAGGTAATATTCTGATCTCAAGAGGAAACTGAGACATCCAGAAGTTGAAATACATACATGTATGTGTGTGTGTATATATATATATATATATCTTATCATTAAGGGAAGGGGTTAAGGTCTAGAATCAGACTTCCTGAATTTGAATCCTAACTCTGCTACTTACTATCTGTATAATGTTCATAAATACATGAACCTAGAAGAAATTGAAGAATAACATGCAAGGAGCGATTCTACGTGTGGTAACTGCTCTGGTAAGTATTACCTGAGCCTTGTGGTTTTACAGACAGTAAGTAGCAGAGTTAGGATTCAAATTCAGGAAGACAGATTCTAGACGTTAACCCCTTCCCTCTTAATGATACATTATACTGTCTCCAGTCCTACTGTGATAAGTGTGAGAACTGAGGTGTCTATAGAATTTTGTTTGACTTGAGAGTTGAAAATGCTTACGTCTGAATAAGGTGAAAGTGAGTTTTATTGGGAAGGATTGTAGGTACAATCATGTTAAATTCATTTCCAGGCTGAATAAAACAATTGCTATTTTGTTCATGAAATAGTAGCACTTCACACAGTGTTAACACCTGCATACCCCAGGTTCACCTTCATGACTCTTAATAATCTCTATTTCCTGCAAGCTTAGCCCTGCACAGATATTGAATATGGTTTTGTGACTGGAGACATGGAAGCAGTGTTTTTTTTTTTTTTTTTCAAGTCTTCTATGATGGACTTATCAGTTGGGTGCCAGTTGAGTAACAGGTTGTTATACTTATTACATTACTACAATATACAATCATTGTGTTTAATAATTTTGCATGCTTCCTATGTCTTTCTGTAACTACTCTGAGAATGGAAACCAGTCATTCCCTTCTTATTTATTTTCTACAAGTGCCTTTTCAGGTCTAGCTCTTAGTTATATGGCCTTGCAAGCTTCTTCTACTCAACACTGAGAACCACTCTCCCCTCACCCCACCCAGCAACTCCCGAATCTTGAGGCTTTACCTCACTAAACCCTGAAACTAGGATTTAATCTATACTCAACTTGATGTTGTCACCTAAACGCAACCTCCCACCCCCTTATATTCCAAGTATTTACGTCCAACACTTTCCAGAAGAGAAAAGGGAAAGGACCAATGTGTACATGGGAAGAAGCTATTTCCTCCTTTCTTCTATTGAAACTGAAATCTAGTCTTAGCTCTACCCACTCCCTCTTTTCTTAAGAAATTTTATATTATCAATTACACCAGGTTAATAAAATGGATTTTTCTTACCAAAATTTTGAAATTCCCATTCTTATGACTGTTGATATTTTATTGACTTGAAAGAAATAACTTCATATTTATTTTAAACTACACAATTCAGCACTCTACTGTTTGTGATCCCATGGGCAAATAAGTGGTGCTCTCAAACATTTCATTGAAGAGTTAAATAGAGGTATTATTGACGAAGATGTAAATAGTGTTAAAGGAATCAACAAGGAGTGTTGAATCACCAGAACCTACCTAGATGACTTACATGAAGACTGATAAGGCATGGGAGGAAGCATTATTACTAGACAAAGCAATAGAGCCATGGGAGAGAGACCATCACTCATAGTAGTAGTGAGCTACAGTGCAGAAAAAGAAAGAGAATCACTGCCAATACCAAAATCAGGCTATGAGGAACTGGGAATAAGGGATACACTGATCTCACTCCTCTTATCTATCTCTTTTCATGGTCTCCAACTGCAAATCCAACCAGAAGTCAGAGGTTATGGGAGCCTAAGTAAGGAAGACCATGAAAGTTAGTCTTTCAGGACACAGAGGAAGGCAGTGAAGCCCTCAGTGAATCCAGAAGAAAAGTAGAGAAAAACCAACACGAGCATCTACCATTTGATAGGACCTATTATAAGAAGGTTATATATATTAACTTATTTAATCCTTATAAAATTTCATATGAGTGGCACTAATTACATTATAAGGATAAAAATAGGGTACATAAGAGTTAACTAAATTTCTGCCTCCATATAGCTAGCAGGAGCCAGACATAAATTTCAAGATCAGAGATCCTGGTTCCACAAACCATGTCCTTAGCCACTCTGATAATCTTCCTTCTGAATCAGAATGGACTCATGTTAGGTATAAATGAAATTTGATATAATTATTGAGATGTGAGGATTGCATATGTTGGATTGATAACTTAGGAGAATTTTCCTAAATTTCTTCATATATAGATTTCTTTGTATTCAACCATCACCAAAGCCACAGAAATATGTCTTAGAAATGGAGGAAAAGAAAGAATGATAATAAAAGCAGTCTCTACTACTTGGTGTCTCTTCTAATCTCTTTGTTTCCATAATTTGCCCACTGATCTTTACTTCTTACCAAGTGGTCCAAGTGTATTACTACAAAGGAATTATGAAGATTTTCCCGTTTTTAACTTCCTGAGTTATGCAATGTAGATAGCAATAAATGACCAATTAAGTCATTCAATTGTTTTCATGGTAATTCATGAAAACACTATTGGAAACATTACTGAGTTATAAACATAATCATAATATATATGATAATAAAATGGAAAGGAATTGGTTACAAATTAAAAGAAAGGCGTGCGAAGCTATGCTGCAACAAGTATAAGATATCTGAGAACCATAAATTGGCATTTGGGAGGAGCTCACTGATTAGTAATTCTTATTTACCTACTTTGATTGGCCTTAAAAAAGACATATACATTCCTAATAAACATACATTCACTCATGAATTCACACAAAACAGTCAAAGATCCTGACTTTAGAGAGTTTTTTTGTTGTTTGTTTTTATTGAGACAGGCTCTCACTCCTTCACCCAGGCTGGAGTACAGTGGCATGATCATGGCTCACTGGAGCTTCAAACTCCTGGGCTCAAGAAATCCTCCCACCTCAGCCTCCTGAGTAGCTGGGACTACAGGTGCATGCCACCGTGCCTGACTAATTTATTTTTCGTAGAGACAGGGGCTCGCTATGTTGCCCAAGCTGGTCTTGAACTCCTGGCCTCAAGTAATCCTCCCAAAGTATTGGGATTACAGGTATGAGCCACCGCACCCATCCAGGGAGTTTGATTCTTGCAAGATATCTTCTAAAGCTCTCAAAATAGTCTTGAAAAACTGCAGTGCAGTTGTTCTCCATTAAATACACAATAGAGCATTTTTTTGCCTAGAATTACCATAAAAATAATTCAATATATAAATTGAATTCATATATAAATATATGACTGGAAGTCTATAGTAAAGACTGTGATAGTGATTTTTCTGCATTTTATAAATTAAAAAACATAGTTTTTCATATTTTAATCTCTCTAAAATTAGGATGCATCCTTCAACTTCTATTTGCAATTGTAATTAGCACCATGTTTGTCTTTATTAGTGATGTGTAAAATAGTTGCACATCTTACAATAGGAAACATTTTAGATTAAATAATGTATGGTATTTTTACAAATTAAGTTAATGGATATTCCTGGAAAGTTAAGTTAAACGTCACTGGGCAAGAAGCCACATAAAGAGAATAACTATTTTAAAGAATACCTCCAAAAGAAAAGGCAGTAGGAAATATACCAATTAGAAAACATAGGACAGTAATAGCAATGAGAAAAATTACTGTCTAAATTAAAACTGTTGCCTCAATCATAGAAGGATATACACAGAAATAGGAAATACACAGAGATAGCTTATCTTGAATCATTACCACAAAGCAATATCCAAAATATCTATTGAGAGAATGGTAGGTTTTTCTAAGCAACTCACCAAAGGAAGGATTGTTTGCCTGGCTGCAGCAGACAGCCACCTACTGAGTTATCATTTTGAGTAATTTCTTTTTCCTAAAAAATATCCATCATTAGTCTCACTTTTTGGAATTTCTTTTTTTTTTTTTATGGAGATTGTGACTGATATATGGGCACCAGAGTCTTAATTTGTACAAAAACAAAAAAAAAGTATTTAGGTTAGATTTAGTTATTTATATACATCAGCATGAAGTAAAGCAATGTACTTAATTTCCTCTTAATATACCTTTTAACAAAGGAATAAATAATATATAATTCATTTTTTATTCAAAGTACTTCACACAATTTTGTTGCCTTTATTTCACCAAGTCTCCTCTATTTAATACACCTATGCTAAGAAGCTTTGGCACACACTGCAAAAAGCACTCAACTTGCAGTCAAAAGGTATGACTTTTAGTATCGTACTAGTTTTTCTGCTTAATTGATCTTTGAATTTATGGAAACCAAGACGCTGTTCTGAACTTCAATTTTTCCATCTGTAAAACAGGAATAATAAAACCAATCACAAAGGGTTACTACTATATTAACTGGATGAAACTATGTGAAAGCAGGTAGCAAAATGAACAGTGCTTCTACATACATTATCTCTGCAGTAAAACTATGATGTGTAAACTCAGTAAAGAAAAAAAAGCATGAGTGATCATAAAAGTCTAATTATTCATTGTCATCAAACTTCAGATTTTTGTGGGAGATTGGAGGACTCTAAGGGAGACAAACAAATGTAAACTGCAGAATAATGAGTTTTAGGCCCCGTCACTGTTACCTCAATTTGAAAACCTGCTAATGAGGACCACAGGAACTCTTCTGCCAGTGAAGCTGGTACTTCCTAGAGGAAAAATGCACAAAAAACACCTACCACCGAAAACAAAAGCACCCTGAATTATGATTTTCAAAAATATCTAGAAGTTTATATATCAATTATATTATCTCATATAAACTGTGTTTGATTCCAGGCTAGCTTTAAATAGACTCTATATTTTAATATATAACTAAACAAATGCCTCCAGTGATAGTTCTGAAACGTCATTGTCCTTAAATTTTTTGCTAAGGACATTGTCCAAGTGTTTGCTACTTAGAGACTTTCAGAATTTTCATCGCTACCTCAAAGTTCAAGCTTTTCTGAGGTCCCAGCGTTTGAGCCTCTTGAACCTGGAGGCAAGGTTAGGGGTTGGGAAAGTAAACTTGTCAAGAGACTCTACTGGGCAAGCCCTCACAGCAAGGAGTTGGGAAGAGAGCTGACAGCAAGCTCTGGTGGCTCCCACAGCAATGTCTTACGAGGGCTCCTTCGGAGGAGTTAATAAATAATAAAGTTTGGTTCAGGACTCCAGGCAAGAATGACAACTCTGGCTGAGGAAATTTCCAGGGGCTGATATCTAAAATAAACTTAAAGTCACAATAAAATATGATAAGTGCCATGTAATAATCCTACAATGGAAATACACAGGATAGCATTGTGGTTAAGAACACAGTTCCCACAGTTTCACTTCTGGGGTGGCAAATGAGGAGTTCCATGGACCCACTCCCCAGCAAAATAAGCAGAGATGTCAAAAATGAAAAAGAAATGAACAAAAAACAACACTAACAAAAAAGTTTACATTCTCTGGAAATAATTGCAAATCATATATCTCATAAGTGATATTTAGCATATACAAAAATATTATAACTCAGTATGAAGAAATATAAACAAAATTAAAAAAAATTAAAATGGGCAAAGATCTGAACAGTTCTGCAATGAAGATATATTTATATAAATGGTCAGTAAGCAAATGAAGAGATGCTCAGCATAGTTTTCCATCAAGGAAATGCAAATCAAAACCACAATGAGCTATGACTACAAGCCCACTAGGATGGCTATATTCAAAATGACAGATAATAACAAATGTTGGCAAGGATGTTGAAAAATCAGAATGCTGATACATTGCTGGTAGGAATGTAAAATGGTACGACTCCTTCAGAAAACAGTCTAGCAGTTCCTCAAATGGTTAAAAGTAGAGTCACTACATGATTACAAATTCCACTGTATATATAATCCCAAGAGAAATGAAAACATATGTCCATATGAAAACTTGTACTCAAATGCTCATAGCAGCATGGTTGATTGCAGCCAAAAATGGAAACAACCCAAAGGTCTATCAACTGGTGAATGGATACATAAAATGTAGTATACCATAAAATGGAATATTATTTGGCAATAGAATGAAATTACATGTTGATAACAGTGTGCAGCATGGATGAACCTTGAAAGCATGCTAAGGGAAAGAAGCCAGACACAGAGGATCATGTATTATATGAATTCATTTCTGTGAAATGTTCAGAATAGACAAATCTATAGGGACTCACAGGGGCAAAAAGTAATTCGTGATTGCCTAGGTCTGGGAAAGTTTTGGAGATTGGCAGATGACAGCTAACAAGAGTGGCATTTTTGAGGGGGAGCTGGTAATAAAGTTCTAAAACTGACTGCAATGATGATTGCACATATTTGCGAATATACTAAAGCTATTGGATTGTGCACTTTGGATGGGTGAATTGTATATTATGTAAATTATATCTGAATAAAGCTACTTTTTAAAAAAGAGAGAGTCTGGTTCCCCAGACTGCCTATGTTTAAATCCCCACCTCTCCTACCTGTGAATGTAGGCCAGGTATTTAAACTCTATGATTCTGTTTCTTCATCTGTACAATGGAGATAATATAAATTACCTACCTCATAAAGCTGTTATAAAAATTCAAATAACTAGTACATGCAAAGAACAAAGACCTTCTAACAGAACCTGGCACATGAAAAGTGTGATATGTGTCCATTCTTCTTATGCACAGACTGTTAAGGGAGAGCATGAAAGAAGTATCCAACTTATGGGTAAGGCAGTCGGCAAGGCTTAAAGGATGATATTTAAATTCATCTTGAAAGATGAGCAGGGATTATCAAGGAATAGATAAGAGGGAAGGGATATCCAGCATTAGAAAGAGTATATGCGGAAGTATGTAGATATGATATTCTATCAAGAATTTAAAGTATCCTAAAAGTAAATTCAAATATTTTCTGAAGTATATGAAATTGAAATACAGAAAATTCCAGCAACCTATGTGTCATGTCTTCTCTTTTTTAAGAGTTCCTTTAGAGACAATTCAGTAAGAAATTTCTCTGTGACTATGAAGGTAATATTGTATGATGTAAATAATATTCACCAAGTTAAAAATAACATTGCTACAACTCTGATCCAGTGTAAAGTTTAGGTAAAATAGTACTCATTTTTATTATTGAAACAGTGTAATCAGTAGACATAGCTCTGTGTTGTGTACATATTTTGTTTTGTCTCTTCTTCTGAGTGTACTCATCTTAGGTGAATGGGGAAAATATGATTTTTATAAACAGACTCTTAAAGAAAAATGGCCTATGCAAATGATGTAATTTAGAGCAACCATAGTATATGTGTTCACTTCAGCGCTCACTAAATAAAATCACCATAAGAATTGATGCATGACAATGGCTTGACAATTTCTTATTCTTTTGTATCACACCAATTCTTGAAATGATAGCTGTTGCACAGACATGTGTGAGTATTGCTATTGTATATGTGGTAGCCATGCATGACCCTACTTTTCTCCTCTTGGAAGCTGGAACCTGAATTCTTAGACTAATCAATGAGTAAATATTTCAGAGATGTGTTATCTAATTTACTTCTGAAAAACAGATCTACTACTTGTCTCTAGACATTTAGAAAGAGATTGACAGAGTCATTTGCAAATTCAAAGATATAAAAACAGTAGGTAGATTGACTTCCATAATCAAATCAATATTTGGTTAGAACATTTCACAATATTCTAACCGAAATTACATGAACTACATTATATACTTTCAGAAATGCAGTGTACCACTCCATCTGAACAAAAACATAATGTTAAGGTGTCCTTGAAGCTTTAAGTCATCTTTTGGCAATGCAGTAGTTTCAACATAATCACAAGACAAAACCAGTTCCACATAAAATTCTTCAGAAATGAACATGAATATAAATAAAAACTTGAGAGATGCTACTGAAATAGATTTTACATTTCAGAGTTACAAAGGAACACATTAGTAGCTATTAAAGCTTACAGATAACATTACCATCTAGCTTACTAATAAATCTCATTGTTAGTATTTTCTCTAGTCTTTACTGAACCTTTAAGATTATTAATTTTTTTCATATTTTATTGATATGGCTAGGATAGAGTTATTAAATAACTTCTTCAAGTTACAAATATGCTAAAAATAAGCATTGAATCCTTATCTATCTAATTTACTCCCAGCCATGATGATTCTAACAAGGACTGGCCTAATTTCCTGCCACAAAAGGCTATAAAACTGAGCCAAGTATGGAAAAACCTTTTCAGACATTAGTCAATTGGTAGAAATGGACTTTGATACCTAAAAGGTTGGAAACAACTAAATGATCCCAACAATTATCCCAGCTTTCTTGCTGCTGGCAGTTTCCATACTGGAGACATGAAAGTATGGATCCAAAACAGAACTTGTCAGCCTCACTGAGTTTACGAAGTAGAGATCAGAGGGTGAGAAAGCTGATGTGGTTGGCGCATATTATCTCATTTTTGAGATATGTTGTAAATTAGAGGGAGCTGAGCAGGAAAATATTTACAGAAATGTGAATCTTGCCTGAGTACTAGACCATCAATGCTAGAGAGAAATTCTACAAGTGTGGGCAAAGAATGACAGGAATCAGAACAATCGCCAGAGCTCACACATGATTTTTGAGAAAGGTTTCATTTGGGGAGATCGTATTGTATCAAGAATTCAAAAGAAAATGTAGAAAGTATGTATTTATCTTTGAGTTGTGTAGTGATCGATAGAAATTTAGGTGAATATCTAAATATCTATATAGATATAAAGTAGGATACTCCCACACACCTTGCTATTTCTGTGTTTTACATATTTCCCTGACCTCCCAAAATGTCCAGTTTTTTGTTAGGAAGCTGCACGCTCATCTTCCCCTTCTGAGCTCCAAGAGCATGTTGATGTTCTTGCTGTTTCATAGCTGATATAAATTAGCATTGGGTAAACGACGAAAAAACGTCACAGAAAGTTTTTCTTGTTCACATTTTGGAAATCTTCCTTCTCAGTAGAGAAAAGCAACCTTAAAGTTGCAACATCATGATTGGATTTCAGTTCACAAAAGAAAATAAATTTTGACAAATCACATATGCTTTTCCTGTCCCTCCCAAAATGCTGCAGTCTTCCATGGCAGCCTTACCAAAGAAAAAACTAAGTCCCTAACTGGAACTTGGATTCTTTCAAAGGCACAGTAAGAGGTTTTGACCAATAGAGAAGCATTGATCAAATCACTATCCACTGCATTACATGGTACTCTAGGAGAGTCTGAAATGAGAATAGATATCTTCAAAAAGCATCCAAATCTGGGGCTGGTTTACTCATCTGTCAGCTTCTGGAATAGTGAACATGCTATTAAAATTCAGCTCCTTCTGGGAGGTGGGAAGATAATCAAGGGGAGACCCACCATACTGCATGGAAGTCCCAGAAATGGAAAAGCTGATCAAAGGAAGGAAGGTAATATACTTTTTTATAATATGTTCCTTGGGATTTTTAATGATCGGTCGAAATACAGAGGTTTTGGTTTTAAGGTGTTATTTTCACAGCATCTCCAGGTAAACTTCCAAGTATTATGTTAGCCTGGATAGAAACAAAAAAGTCCATAATGCTTGAAACTGAATATGTGATCCTTGCATCATGTTTAAAATTGTTCAGCAAGGAATTTCAGTTTCTCTAGGTGATGGAAGTTAGCACGAGCAAAGGAACTTTACAATTTTTCAGAATTTTTTTTTTTTCATGTTTGGAAGGTCTCCTCCTCCTCCTCCTCCTTCTCCTCCTCCTCCTCCTCCTCCTCCTCCTCCTCGTCCTCCTCCTCCTCCTCCTCATCCTCCTCGTCCTCCTCCTCGTCCTCCTCCTCTTCCTCCTCCTCCTTCTCCTCCTCCTCCTCCTCCTCCACCTCCTGCTTCTCCTTCTCCTCCTTCTTCTTCATTTTTATTTTTAACCATTGCTAGTGGTATGATTTTTGAATTGGGAAAACAAAATATTCAGACTAAATATTTTCCCAATGATTCTTATGTAGAGTAATGTACTTTGCAATTCAATTAAAAATAACAAGCTAGGATGGTGTTCTGAGCCAAATGTAATCTCCAAGACCATGGTCAGTAAAGTACTCAAGAAAAAAGTATTGAGGCCGAGTAGTCTGAAGTCTACTGGGGAATAAAGAAGCAGCTGATTAGCATTTGAAAGCAAGGTCTTTCACTGTTTTAAAAGTGAAGGAGAATTTTTTAACAGAACACTCATCAAAAACAAAGCGTTTGAAAATTACCCCTCCTTTGTTTTATCAGTCTCAGGGAAGATGCACTTCGATACACGTCTCAGGAATTAAGATGCATTTCGATACATGTAATATTACATTTGGTGACACTGCTGGAACATATGCTGAGAAATGCAAGAATAAATAGGACTAATGCTCATTTTCTTTTTTTTTTTAATCACTTGCAAGTGACATTTGTTTCATCTAGGCAGGAAAGCAGGATCTTATAGGCAGGGTAGGTGTAAGGGCTGATTTTAGGTCAAGCTTTTCAATTTATTATGCAATAAAATATAGCAATAAAAATATGCATCTTTATATTTTCCAGTAAATTATAGGAATCTCCGTTTAATTTTTTATATATGTGCTAATAATTAATTCAGTACTACAGTCTGGATCCACAGTCCTTTTGATAAGAGCTGGCACAGAGGTCATTTTTATGTGCCTTATTATTAATCTTAATAATATGTAGTAATATTCCTTTATATGCTTATTGTGACACACAGAAACTTAAAGCCTTTGTAGCTTTAAGTTCAGATGTCTCCACATTCTTTTGTAAATCCCTGCAGATTTGTTTCTTGCTTTTAAATATCAGCACCTTTCTGCTGTCTACTCTTAGGTCTCTGCCCTCTATGCAGGAGATCTTTTCTTTTAAGTTTCCCACCGTGCTTCATAATAAAATCAAAAGAAAAAGGTACATCCCTCAGAAAGCATTCATCTCACTAGAAATAGAAAACCTGTCACCTTATTCTTAAAACCTTAGATCAGCCAGGCCAGTGGCTGAAATAGTGAGGGTAGTGTCTACAAAGGGTATAGAGTAGGGGTAGCAAAATAATTATGTACCTTGTTCTCTCCACATCTTTTAGGGAAGAGACTCTTTGCTCTGGAAAATGACTTAATACCATTGGGAGGAAAACATTTCCTCTACCCACTTAGGTTCCTATGTTTAGGGGCCTGTGAATTAACTGATAATAGACAGATTAACAGGAGAAAAGAAAAGGTTAATCTACACATGCATGTGAAGTCACTCAATAATGAGTCGTTTCCTGAATACCCAGAGGTAAAGATTGGTATAGCAACTTAAAAAAGGGAAGGGAAGTGTGGCTAGGGCATCAATGTGTAGTTGATCTCCTTCCTGGGATTAGCAGAAAGCTCTTGGAGGAGAGTTAATAGCAGCTGTATTGGGGGTAGTGTCAGCTTTAGTTAGGTAAGGGAAAGTCAGATCAGATTTCAAATATTTTCACTTTAATCTTTATGCTAAAACTGTGATTCCTTCAATATGCTGATGAAAGTTGAAGTGTGGCTTGGAAAAAAAGAGAAAGTATAAGTAGATTTATTCTAGATATAAAGCATTTTTTAGGTATAGTAGAAAGAGAGAAAGAGAAAGCAACAGGCACACACACACTGAGAGAGAGATTTTGACACGACCATGTCAAAGACTAAGAGTACCCCAAGTTCTTTATCAACCATGTAGTTTCTGCAACCTGCAGTATACACACATGCATACCCATATACTGATGGAGGCAGTCTAAATTAATGGTTAAGAATATGAACTTCAGCACCAGAGGGCATTGGATTCAAATTTCAATCTTTCTTACTAGCTTTGTAACTTCAAACTTTTTTCCTCTTGGAAGCTGGAAACTGCATTTTTAGATTAAACAATGAGTAAATATTTCAGAGATGTGTTATACAGTTTACTTCTGAAAACAGATTTATTACTTGTCTCTAGAAGTTTAGAGAGAGATCGACAGAGTCATTTGCAAATTCAAAGATATAAAAAACAGGTAGACTGACTACCATAATCAAATCAATATTGGTTTAGAAAATTTCACAATATTCTAACTCAAGTTATGTGAACTATATTATATACTTTTACATTATTTATCTACCCTCAAGTTTCAGTTCTCTCCTTTGCAAATGACAATAACAATACCAAAAAATAAAAAAACTAAATGAGGTAATGAACGTAAAGTGATAAGGATGATGACAGGCATAAAGTAAGCTTTTTATTGTTTTTATTTGCTTTTTCCTGTAGCCTGAAAATATGTTCAAGGTAAAAAAAAGCATTCTTTTGCTCTGAATCTCCTTTATTCTACCAATTCTTTTCTCGTGTAAGTGTCTCAGACTCTTCAGTTGTCTTCACTTTGTCATTTATTTTTATCCTCAAATCATTGATATTTGGCTTCTATTTTCACTTCTCCAAACAAATTGCTTTTTTGTCTTCATGATCTTCTACGTGACAAATTAAATGCATGCTTTCAGACCTTACCTTCCTGGACCTCTCACCTCCATTGGAATCCACTGGCAATTTACTCCCAGAAGCCCTGTCCTCTCTTGCATCTTCAACATCTTCTGATTCTGACCTCTCTATTCCTTTGTTTATTTGTTTGTTTGTTTGAGACAGAGTTTCACTCTTGTTGCCCCAACTGGAGAGCAATGGCATGATCTAGGCTCACTGCAACCTCCATCTCCTGGGTTCAAGTGATTCTCCTGCCTCAGTCTCCCAAGTAGCTGGGATTACAGGCATGCGCCAACATGCCTGGCTAATTTTGTATTTTTAGTAGAGACAGGGTTTTGCCATGTTGGTCAGGCTGATCTCGAACTCCTGACCTCAGGTGATCCTCCCGCCTTGGCCTCCCAAAGTGCTGGGATAACAGGCGTGAGCCACAGTGCCCGGCCTCTCTATTCCTTTTACCTCCTTCATTGGATTCTCTTCTTCCAGAGTTTCATCCCTGGCCTTCACTATACTTTATTGAATGACTTCATTTACTTTCTAGAAAGTTATAAACAAATTTTTATTTCCAACCCTAGCCTCTCTCTCCTGCTTCAGACTCATTATCCACGAGTACTATTGAAAAAAGTATTCTATATTTAATGACAAAAAAACAGAAAATATGGAAAACAAAAATTAACAGCAAAATCATAAATAATTCTTCCATCAAAAGTTACTTGCTAATATTTTAGTGTCTACCACTAGCTAAACTTAACTACATTTCCTTATCTATAAAATTTGAGGTAATTGAGGTCCCAAACTCATAAAACTATTGAGCATGAATACACAAAAAGTTTTTAAAGTACCCAGCACATACTAAGTTCCATATGAATATTTGCTGCTATTATTTTTTTCAATTTCAAACATGTACACACATGTTTCAAATTCAAAAATGTAGCTTTGTACATTTTCTTCCCATTTAGCAATATGCAAATGAGTATTTTTAATTGAATAGATTTTTTTTTTTTTGAGACGGAGTCTTACTCTATCACTCTGTCACATAGGCTGGAGTGCAATGCCGTGGTCCTAGCTCACTGCAACCTCCGCCTCCCGGGTTCAAGCGATTCTCCCGCCTCAGCCTCCAGAGTAGCTGGGACTACAGGTGCATGCCACTACACCTGGCTAATTTTTGTAGTTTTAGTAGAGACGAGTTTCACTATGTTGTCCAGGCTGGTCTTGAACTCCTGACCTCGTGATCTGCCTGCCTCGGCCTCCCAAAGTGCTGGGATTACAGGCATGAGCCACCGTGACCAGCTGTGAATAGATATTTTTAACAGATGTGATCAGTAGATTTTTTCAGCCACTTAGTGAATAATTTCTACAGCTGCCTCAAATGTCTATTAATTTATCTAGGGTTGTATGTAATTCCCAGCCTTCTAACTGTTGACAGTTTTATTTCTCATTCCCTGAACTATGTTGAAATGCAAATTAATGTCTTTACAGAGATATTTTTGAATCTCTCTATTAAAAAAAAAAAAAGAAAAAAGAAAAAAACAAACCAATCCCGAACTTCAAAATGCTATTCTTGGTTTTTTAAAAAATGACCTATAGTCCAACTCTGTGTAGATAATTATGTGACAGGGCATTGAGACACTGAAGTTGACAGCCCAATGTGCTGTGCTGTGTCATACAGATAGACTTAAAAAAAAAAAGCCCCAGGCTGGGTTCTGTGGCTCATGCCTATAACTCCAGCATTTGGGGATCACTTGAGGTCAAGACTTTGAGACAAGCCTGGGCAGCATAGTAAGACCCATCCCCCCCCCCCAAAAAAAAATACCAGGCATAACAGTGTGTGCCTGTATTCCCAGCTACTCAAGAGTTTGAAGCAGGATTGCTTGAGCCCAGGAGGTTGAGGATGTAATGAGCCGTGATTGTGCCATTGCACTTCAACCTGGGCAAGATAACAAGACCCCATATCTTAAAGCAAAACAAAACCCATCTCTGATTGTAGCGTATTTAGGTTGTTTTCAACTTCTTCCTAGATAACTTGCAATGAACGTTTTAAAAATATATACTTGTGCACATTTATGCTCATTTATGATTATTTAGATGTACAATTATTAGATGAGATAATATAAAAAATTTACAGCCTTTCACTTTTATTTTTCTTTTTCTTTTATTTTACTTTAAGTTCCAGGATACATGTGTAGAATGCGCAGGTTTGTTACATAGGTATACATGTGCCATGTTAGTTTGCTGCACCTACCAACCCGTCATCTAGGGTTTAAGCACCACATGCATTAGGTATTTGTCTTAATGCTCTCCCTCCCCTTGCCTACCCCACTAACAGGCCCCAGTGTGTGATGTTCCCCTCCCTGTGTCCATGTGTTCCCATTGTTCAACTCCCACTTATGAGTGAGAACATGAAGTGTTTGGTTGTCTGTTCATTTGTTAGTTTGCTGAGAATGATGGCTTCCAGCTTCATCCATGTCCCTGCAAAGGACATGATCTCATTCTTTGCTATGGCTGCACAGTATTCCACGATGTGTAAGTGCCACATTTTCTTTATTCAGTATATCATTGATGGGCATTTGGGTTGGTTCCAAGTCTTTGCTATTGTAAATAGTGCTGCAGTAAACATCTGTGTGTATGTGTCTTTATAGTAGAATGATTTATAATCCTATGGGTAAATACCCAGTAATGAGATTGCTGGGTCAAATGGTATTTCTGGTTCTAGATCCTTGAGGAATCGCCACACTGCCTTCCACAATGGTTGAACTAATTTACACTCCCACCAACAGTGTAAAAGCGTTCCTATTTCTTCACAGCCTTGCCAGCATCTGCTGTTTCCCAGCTTTTTAGTAATCACCATTCTGACTGGTGTGAGATAATATCTCATTGTGGTTTTGATTCGCATTGCTCTAATGATCAGTGAATGTTGAGCTTCTTTTCATATGTTTATTGGTCACATATATGTTTTCTTTATAGAAGTGTCTGTTCATATCCTTTGCCCACTTTTTTATGGGGTTGAGGCTTTCACTTTTTTATTGTGAATTTGTTTTCTGGAAAACTTTTACCAATTTTAATTCACATAAGTAGTGCATGAGAAAGTCTACTTTCTCACATGCTTGCTGATAAATGTTAACATTCATTTTTATCCTTGCCAGTCAGATAAGCAATAAATTAAATAGTTCTTGTTATTTTAATTTGTATTCCCCAAAGGTATGTTAAGAGAGCAAAACAATAAATAATTCACCCTCAATGGTTGCTGTTAAACTTTGTCTTTTTAAAATTTAAGCTTTAAAGATTATGACTTTAATTATTTTTTCTTCTCATAAATAATATTTCTCTTCTAAATAATTCTAAGTCACAATTATGTAGGGATAAAAAAGAAAGTATACATTTTAATGCTTTCCTCCATTAAATTTGAATGTGTGTTAATTTTGTATTCAGTGCTGCAGGTTTTTACAGAATACTGTCTTTGGTTCCATATTGAACATTCACCTTGAGGACTTTAGTCTATTGATTGAAAGCTTTAGTTCATCTAATAGAATTATTATGACACATACTCCAACTAAAAATCAGTCAAGGACAGTCCCAGAAGTTAATACTCTTCCAAAGACTGATGCCTCCACTGAGCACCTCTAGGAAGTATGAGATGGTGTTGCATCACTTCTCACTAAGTTCTTATAACCCCACATCCAATATATCAACAAATTTCATCAGCTCTACCTTCAAAAATTACCTAGAATCCAATTATGTCTTATTAAATCCATTTTACTGCCAAGTCACTTCTGATTTATTGCAAAAGGCTCCTAATTGATCTCCCAGCTTCTTCACTTGCCTCTTCCAGTCTATTGTCAATAGTAACTGTCAACTGTCTAGTAAACTGTGAAAATATATCTGATCATGTCTCTCCTCTGCTCAGAGCCCATCTGGCTTCCTATCTTAGTCAAAGTAACAGCTGACATCATCATAGTGGCCTAAAGACTCTAGTGAAGCTCTGCCCCATCCAAATACATTGCCTCTCAGATATTTCCTAATATGTGGCTCTAGCTTCCTTGGTCCTAGCCACGCTAGTGTCTCTTCTGTCTCTTAAACAAGTCAGAGACTCTTAACTGCTGTATTTATACTTACTCTTTCTTCTGTCTGAATGCTGTTTCTACAGAGGTGCTTTCTAATTGAAGGTACAATCATTTCTCACATATGCCTTCTTCTCATTATTTGTTTAATTTCTCTTCACAGCACCTATCATCACCATCTGACATTTTATATATATATATATATATATTTCCTTTTTTGTTTGTTGTCTGTCACTCCCACTAAAATGTAGGTCTAGAAGAATAGAAATGTTCGTTTGTTGTTTGTTTTGTTCACTGCTGTATTCTTAGTGTGTGCCTGGCATTAACACTCTTTTGAATGACTGAATAAATATCTGAATTTCTGCTATTTCCCTATAAGTAATATTATTTTGGATAGAAATGCCACTAATCCTGAAACATTTTCAAGTTTTATATGGTTTTTATCTTTAATATTTGTGTGGCTTTCTGCTACATTCCAATATTTAATTAGCTTTAGTTTACATTTATTAAATGCTTCTATATCCAGATAATGTCATATCATAAGTTTCAGTTGACATTTATTAACATTACTACTTCTTATAATATTTTAACAGAAATATGATTCATCAACTCCAGTGTTTGTAAATATCATCACCATTCTGAAGTCAAATGTTGCCAAAGTCTTCCATTAAATACTTGCAGACTTCTCTCATTTGGTACAGCCAGTCACTCCTTACAGCTGCAATATGTTATATCTCGAATGTATTTCTTGATAGCTTTCTTTAAGATAACTGCACTTGCAAAGTTCTTTGTACCTAGAAAACTTTCAACAAATATTTAGAGAATATAATTTACTCATGCATGTGGATAGACACATGTAAGATTCACTTAAGTGTCAAATTTACTAATATAATGAAAACTTGGACCAAACAAGCAACAAAAAATATTATCCAGCACTCATACTCAAAACGCAGTCTGAGAGTTTGGTATTTTTCAGTTCCTAAAGGTTGATCATGTGGTTCATAAAATCTTAGTCTCCAAAATGTATTTTCAAATGAATGTCAGGCAGAACCAACAAATGAGAACTAGGGTACTTAGGATTATTGTAATTGCCTAATGTGTTTGGTGACCTTGTATTCCCACTTACAGCAACTTATGCTTCTTTCAAATTCTTTTGTACAAAAAAAATTGTCTTGTCCACTCTCCACTTAGCCTTTAAGTCACTAAGATGTGGCTATTTCATTAGTTGAAAGCAATGTCTAAAATAAAATATTTTATTTTAAAAATCAATCATCTTGCATAATAATAGCTTTAACTTTATGCTCAATTTAAAATATTTGTATTTAAATAATTGCTTACAGAATAGAAATAGAAATGATATATAAGATAATATAGAAGATGTAAGGATTTAAGAAGTTAGGATGACAGTATTTTTATTTACTTTTATCATTTGTAATTGTATCTTATTGTCTGGTAAAAACATTTAAGGAAAGATTAAAATCTAAGTTTAATGTATTATTTATAAACATTTGCTCCTTCATAAAATCTTCCTGCAATCCCTCTTTTTAAAAATGTTTTCATTGCATATCCCGATGATCTGCTTTTCTTCTCTCCATGAAACTCAGATACTAGTTTTCTTTACAACACCTGGATTGTTTCTTCCTCTACTGCTGTTCCTTATTTTGTTTTTCTATTCTGGTGTCTTGATATCTCCTTTTAACAAATTCCATACCATTGGCCTTCCTAACTTGTGAACATTTCTAATACTCACATATGCTCTATAAAAAAAAGTGAGGTTTTTCCAAGAAGAACAGTGGCCATTAATTCTGCATATATCAAAATGGAATGTGTCATCTTTGAGCAAAATATAAGCTCACACCATGCATAAAGACAACTATTGTTTGCTTCAGCCAGGAGTATGTTTTAGGGAAAAAATATTTTAAACAAGCCATTAAGAAATAGTCTCTTTTTTCTTTAATGTCTTTGAGCTACATATGTGAGCAGAATTATAAAGAATTTCCAGTGACTCATTCTTAGTTTTGGCCTTCCTGGCATTCTGTAGTCGTGCATATTAAAACCTCTAAACAGCTCTCAGTAAAGCCTTGGCAGTAGAGCTTGTAGCTTGTACCTATCAAAAATGTCAGATGCTTTTTTCCAACGCCATCACTAGCAAACAATATTACTTAGTTATTAACATATAGGAATTAACGGCAAAATCTGCAAGTTGCAAACAGTGTTGTAAATCAACTAAGCATTTATCATGAGATTTTTTAAGTGACTGAATACAGATTCAGAATCATGAAGTTATTATCTAATAACCCAACAAGTGATGTGAATAAATCCTTGCTAATATGAAAATTATCAGCCACTGAAACACCCTTTTCTACAAGCAGGTCTGTGGATCCTCATGCTAATGTACTTAGATTGATAAACCACAGACATTCTCTGAAAGCTTCGTTTGTTCCAGTTGCTGAGGCTTGTGCTTAGAGCATCTGTCATGCAAATGATCAGCAAATCATAACCTGTAATTTGTTTTCATTTAATAGGCAGACAGGTTTTCACCAATTTAGACTCAAGTCCTATTAATACTCTTTGAAACTAATTGCTGGAAAATGAATTTTAATGACAGGATTTTATCATTTATTATTTTCCCTTCTGTCCCTATAAAGGAAGACTCAAAGCCATCTACTCACACTTTGAAAATATATGTTAAATAGGCACAAGCCATAATCTCCTGTCATCTGGGCTGTTGCAAAGGACCCCTAATCCCCTCTCTTGTAATAATCCATTCTACACTCTACTCTTAAAATTACTTTCTTACTATCCCATTTCCCTTCCACAAAATCTTCAATTCCCTGTCAAGTAAATAGCAGACACTTTAATATGGCTTCGTTGCCCTCCATTATCTGTTTGCAGTTTACATATTTTTATCCTTATTTGATATCGCAATATAACATGTATACAGAAAAAAGCATGAAACATTAATTAATAAGTAGTAAAGTAACATCCAGAAAACACTACTCAGAGCAAAAAGCAGACGATTGTCATTACCACAGAAACCACCTCCCCAGTGCATCTTTCTGATCAGACCCTTCCCAGCATCCCAGAGTCTAACCACCCAGAGATAATCACTTCCTCTATTTTCTTTAGATTGTCTCCAGCTACGTGTGAATTCTTAAATAATATGGTCAATTTACCCATTTTTGAATGTTATGTAAATGGAATCAAAATCTGCTTTCTTTGGCTATTGCTTTTTTCACTCAAATTATTCTCTTAAACATTCATTCATTTTAGGGTACAGCTTCAGTTAACTTCAATTTTAAGCTGTTTAGTATTCCACTGCATCAATGTACCACAATATATTTATCTTTTCCATGTTGATGGGCACTTGGATTTTTAGATTGTTTCCACATTTGAGCTATTACAGACAAGGGTGCTATGAGCATTCTTGGATGTATAGTTTGGTGCCCAGTATTCTTTTGTATTCATACCTAAGGAGTGGAATTTCTAGGACTTAGCCATGCATATTCATACTAGATAAATATTGATGTAATACGTAAAACCAAGTAATATTAACTTGTATATAAGTAGCTCTGTATGCTACTAGACAAGTCAAAATATTTTTCAAAATGGTTGTAAATTTATATATCGAGCAGGAGTGAATGCTATTCACTCCTACTTCTATTTCGACTTCTAGAAATAGGAGCACTTCTATTTCTTTATATGCTTGACAGTACTTGGGATTATCAGACTACCTCACTTTCTGTTCCTCCTCTATTTATTCTTGCTTTAGGATTTTCTATCCTCTTGTTTATTCTTCCTTCACCCTGGATATTAATTCTGACCTATTGCAATTCATGAATTCTTTCTTCATCTGTTTCTAATCTATTAATGACTCAGTCATATGTTAACTTTGGTAATTGTCTTTTCTAATTCTCAAATTTGTTTAGTTCTTTTTCAACTGCGTAACAACACTCCTTTGTAGTTTCCAGTTTCCTGCCAATTAAAAAAGCATTGCCCTTCATTTCTTCAAACACAATAAACATAATATTTCCAATATGCATCTGAAAATTCTAGTATCTAAATTCTTGAGGATCAATTTCTGTTCCTTGTTTCTTCTGCAGGTTCTATTATTGAAGAATTATTATGTTGGTGCAAAAGTAACTTAGGTTTCTACCATTACTTTTAATGGCAAACACCACAATTACTTTTACACTAATCTAATATTTCTTTTCACCACATTTCTTTGATTTTTGTTTGGACATCATATTCAAAAATTATTTGAAGGAATCATGTTACACCTAAAGTAATATTACCTTTTTCTAGAGAGGATTGTGTTTTTCTCTGTCAGGAATCTGGAGCCTCCATCAGGGTACCACCATAAATTGTGTTAAAATTTGAGATTAAACTATGCAGTCCTGGATTTTAATCCATAGGTGGAAAAAAATAGAGTTTCAAAGAGGTAAGCTTCAATTAAGACAGATTATGATGCCTCCTTCTTCTGTAACATATTGTGTGACTTTGAGTTGAGATTCTTCCTAAGTTTTCTGATCTATTAAAAAAGATATAGCTGGTAATCCCCAAAATCATGATTTTCCTTTTTTTTTTTTTTTTTTTTTTACAGTTTCTACTGTATTTCTTTGTTGTCCTGTCAGTACCAGTTATGGTGTGTGTTGCTTTTTCTTTCTTTATATTTTTGTTGAGCACAGTGATTGAGTACATGCCCCACTAATAGGGTATAATTATTTTGAGAGTAATATCTATGACTTAACACCATATCTCTCACTATATTGAGTGTAGTACCTTGATGCAGTAGCTAGCTGCTCAGTGAATGTTAAATGGATAAATCAATGACTGAATAAATTTTAGAGATAGGTACATAGATAAAAGTGATCAAAACAAGCTAAGTATTACTGCAGAGAAGGAACAAGTATCTTTTCTATTATAGTTCCCAAAGCTTCAACCAAATTTCTTTTGCTATGTTTACCTGTCCAATATATTGGCTGGTTGTACTCATAGAGTACTAGTCTTAGTTAGAATTTATGAGTAATGGTCCAAATCCGTAATAGAGCTTAAAACTAAAGCTTTAAAAACATTGATCCAGATGAAGAATGATAGGATGCAATGAAAGTTTATTTAGGGCATAAAATTTAAAAGGTATGTTATCAATAATTCATTTTGAAAGTCCCCTTAATATAGCCATTTCTATTCTGTATCTTTAACCAGTTATAGGTGACATTGCTAGGAACAGATTTTGACAGCAGACTTGTGCAAGGGATCTGTTTGCCTAGAGATTTACTTAAAAGGTAGAATTAAAGTCATTTCAAGAAAGAAATTTAACATAAGAAAATATAACCATTTAGTACACTAAATAATTGGTCTAGCTAGTTATGAGTTAAAAATGAAAAAGAATTAATAGTTTTTAGCAACATATACATTGGGACAGTATTTTTGCCACATCTATCATTTACCTATGCAATAATTAAATTCATAATTTTTTAAGTGTCATATCGAAGAGTGTTATTCAACTTCCTGGTGATTAAATTACTGATAAACATAGCCGATTTTTTTTGGTTTTGCAGGTCCTGAAAAATAGAGAATGCATATGACTTCCAAATATTGGTAGAAGAGCCAGTCAAATAATATCTTCCATGAATCCTCTTACAATTAATTTGCTGATTGATAGATGTTCAAAATCTAGAAATGAATGAGTTGCATGTAAGGAAATCAGTACATGCTTCTGCTGCCATCATATATCACAATACAAGCATTAAAAGCTATATTAATTATAGAACTTTATGATCTTATTTACATGGTCTGTGAATTTGATCTTTATTTTGGAATTCCTTTAATCCATTCTGATTCTAATCACCTCAGGACCAACTTTAGTGTATTTGTACAAGGCGTAATCATTGGCTAGCTCTATAAGTTGTCCAAACAACCAAATGAGATGTCGCAAATTCTGCCAATTGTGTAAAGTTTTATTATGTACTTTAAATATATGAATATTTGGAATATCAAGATGTGTTGTATTTTACCAATAATATTAAAGGTTTGCTTGTTCACTTTTCACTTGTATTATGATGTCATTTAAACAAGTCAGTATTATTAGAAATCTGATTCATTCTGAAAACCTCTCATCTACTGATCTAATGATCTTCAATATTCATTAACATGAAATATTACTATAATAGGAAAAAAATCGGTACCTTAACAAAAAATATGGAAATTTATTTGTTTATTTATTATTTTTACTTATTTATTTATTTATTTATTTATTTATTTATTTATGTTTTTGAGACAGTCTCACTCTGTTGCCCAGGCTGGAGTGCAATGGTGTGATCTTGGCTCACTGCAAGCTCTGCCTCCCAGGTTCACGCCATTCTCCGGCTGCAGCCTCCCAAGTAGCTGGGACTACAGGCGCCTGCCACCACACCCAGCTACTTTTTTGTATTTTTAGTAGAGACGGGGTTTCACCATGTTAGCCAGGATGGTCTCAATCTCCTGACCTCGTGATCCGCCCACTTCGGTCTCCCAAAGTGCTGGGATATTTCTTTCTTTCTTTCTTACATTCTAGAGCCTTGGCGAGTTGGCCCAAGTGTTGTACAGCATTTTCAGTGTCAGGGACATAGACTTCTCTCCTTTCTCTGCTGTGTGTAGTCTCAGATAGTTACCAGAGCACCAGCCATTGTATGTTCTTTCTAGTTTTCAGGTAGCAGAAAGAATAAGAAATGTTGCACAAACCACCCTGTTTACATCACGTTGGCCAGAATTAGTCACATGGCCATGAAGCAAGCCACTTTGCCTGAAGTAGGACTACAGATTGTCTTTATTCTCCATAGTGGTAAAATATAAAAAAATATAATTAGAGAAGAAGAGAACTCCTCTGGAGGACAACTAGCAGTAACCTACTCTACTAACTGTCCATTTACTAGTTCATTTTGCTCTAAGATAACATATAAACAGTGAAACTAAAATATGTTTTCAAAATTAGAAAATGTAAGTACCTTAGATAACCAAGATTAAAGAAATGTTACAAATACCACAATATCAACATAGTTATAGATGAACATCAAACTTAGTACTGATTTTCTGAATATCCAAAATGAAAAGAAATACCTCAATAATTGGTTACATTGTTTTTTATCATTTTGAAAAAGGCACTACTGAGGCAAATGAAGCTCTTTGACCCTGAACAATTACAAAATTTATCTCATAGCAATTTTTAGGGAGAAAATTGTATATTATAGTTGACAATATTCCTATAACAGGTGCAGTGATTTTATAAGCTACTTACAGTGTCTTTGAATAAAAGCCAAAATGAAAGCATTATGAAGGCTATTTTGTGAATCTCTGAGGAAAAATCATTCAAAAAAAAAAAAAAACCTTTGGCTATTCTGGCTTATATACAAGGAGAAATTTTAGCCTGCCCAGAGGGCTGGATGGACTACATACACCATGAATGGTTATCTGTAAATATTACTGTTGCTGAAAGATTTCTGAACAAATGTAGAAAATTAAGGAATAGATTATCTAGTTTTCTGTAGTCTGCCAGCATGTTTCAAATCAATCGAGCTTTCTTAACACCAGGTGTTCTCAGAAGTGAAAGGGGCCTATTTGTTAGCTTTAAAAAGACAAAAATGGGAAAAGATAAAAGAGGTGGAAGCAGAAACCAATTTGCTAAATTTACTAAATTAGACAGTTTATTGAAAAGGTAAGTGAATTTCTCATATCAGTCATAAAGAAGCTATTTTTCCAATGAAATGTGTGTTTATATCAAAGTCACAAAATTACTTAGTGAATAACTCCCAGTAAATGCGATATTATTAATTTCAGCTAAATTATATGTTCTTAGAATTTTTTTATCTTTTCAGATTGTTTTATGTAGATTATAGCTGTTAAAATTTTATTGGATGTAATTTACATGGTTTACAAACAATAAATTCCTGAGAATAGATACGATAAATTTATAGTTTGTTGAATGATTTATTATTAAGGAGTCTCAGATTGGTCCTCCGAGGACAGGAAAAATAAATTCATGGACCCTAAGTTTTTTAGTTACTTTTATCTAATTTTTGATATGGTAATAATTAAAAGGGAGATGATAAGAAATTGAATGATTAAGCATTGTTAAATAATATGATGCGTTAATAATGCATAAGTTATATTCCTGAGTTGATTCTTTCAAAGTATAAAACAATTTTTAGATTTAATCAAAACTCTTTAAAGAATTAATCTTTGCTTTTAGGGAGCACTATAGATTGACATCAGAAATTTCTCTTATTTCCATGTAGGAAGAACCTTTTGTGATGGTCTCTGAAAATGTCTTGGGTAAGCCGAAGAAATACCAGGGCTTCTCCATTGATGTTTTGGATGCCTTATCTAACTACCTGGGTTTTAACTACGAAATTTACGTAGCACCGGATCACAAATACGGAAGCCCACAAGAAGATGGGACATGGAATGGCTTGGTAGGAGAACTTGTCTTTAAGGTAAGAATTACTTTATTTATTTGTCTCATACTTAAAGGTTCAATTATTTGTCTCATACCTAAAGGTTCAACAGTAACACCTTGAAGCTGATTTCATATAAAATAAGTGTGATGTATTTAGGTTGGTTAAGCATTAGGTGGTGGAATTGAGTACAAAAGTCTCACTCAATACTATTTTATGAACTTTGTGGAAAGAAAAGTAGTTGACAAAATAAACCTAAATGTTAAAATATATCCTGTAATAGAAAAGGGTTTAGAAGAAGACCTTTTCTTTGCTCAACTTATACCCCAAAAACAGAAAGTGTATATGATACGTGATGAAATCACAATGTAAGTTACACATGCAATTTGTACTATTTTTTTTCTTTCTTTTTTTTTTTTTTTTTTTTTTTTTTTTTGAGACAGAGTCTCACTCTGTCCTCCAGGCTGGAGTGCAGTGGCTGGATCTCGGCTCACTGCAAGCTCCGCCTCCTAGGTTCGCGCCATTCTCCTGCCTCAGCCTCCCGAGTAGCTGGACTACAGGCGCCCGCCCCCACGCCCAGCTAATTTTTTTGTATTTTTAGTAGAGACGGGGTTTCACCATGTTAGCCAGGATGGACTATTGTTTTCTTTTTAAAAATGTGATGTTATTGGAAAAAATTAAAACATTCACTGCTTAGAAACTAATCATTTCATTCTGTAATCTAATCAAGATAGGTATGTACATATGTATATATTTTTCTTTGTTCTTTCAATTCTCAGAAAGGTGTTTAAAACCTCTATGTCCTTCTTTAGTCCTGTCAGAATCTGCTTCAGTTTTTTGAGGCTCTGTTATTAGGCACATAGACATTTATAATTATTACATTTTCCTGATAAATTATTGAATAGTTGGGTTTAGGTTTATAACTTACTGTTTGGTTTATATGTATACCATTTTTTTCTCTGTTGCTTCTTTTCCTGTTTTTCTTGGGGTTAATTAAATATATTTCAGTATTTGATTTTATTGCTCTTACTGCCTTTTTAGTTGTCTCCCTTTGTATTTTTGTTCGTGGTTAGTCTAAAGGTCATAATATGCCTTCTTAACTTACTACATTCTATCTTAAGTTAATATTGTACTACTTCACATAAAAAGTAATAAATTTTCAGCAATATAATTTTATTTGTACTCACTCCTTTTTGATATTGTGTTCACATATTTATATTTTATTAACCTCATACCAAATATCATAGTTTTTTATTTAAATATTTATTGTCTTTTAAAGGTACAGAAAGAAAAAAAAAAAGACAGTTGCTGGGATATAATCACTTATCTACCGTGTCTGGGGCTCTTTATTCCTTACATATATTTGAGCTCCCATTTGGTATAATTTACCTTCAACCTGAAGAACTTTCTTTAGAGTGTCTTGAAGTGCAGGGCTACGTAGGTAGCATATACTCTCAACTTTTGTTTACCTTGAAATGTCTTTTTTAACCCTCATTTCAAAATGATATTCTTACTGGATATCAAACTCTGAATTTACAGGGTTTTTTAATGTTCATCATTTTAAAGTTGTGATTCTATCAGTTTTGCCATATATTATTTCTGATGAGAAATTAGCCATCATCTGTATCCTGATTCTTTATATGTAGTATATTTTTGTATGTGTTAGTGGCCATTCTACAAGTTTCTCTTCATTTTTTGGTGTTTAGAAATTTAATTATGATGTTCTAGATATGATTTTCTTTGCATTTATTGTGCTGAGAGTTCACTAAACTTCTGGGATAGGTTACATTTAGTAAATATAGAGAATTATTTCTTCAATTTTTTTTACCTTCTTTCCTTTCTCTTCTTGATTTGAGGCTCAGAGAATATTCAAGTTAGATCACTTAATGTTGTCTCCTAAGTCACTGAGGCCTTGCTTGTTTTATTAAGATATTTTTACTCCCTGACCTTCAGATTTGACAATTTGTCTTGATCTGCCTTCAAGTTTACTGATATTCTGCCACCTTCAAATTTTTGTTAAGTCCTTTCAGTAGCTTTTTCATTCTAGATTGCTTATTTTTTCTTTCCAGAATTTCAATTTTTTGAAATAATTTTTACTTTTCTGCTGAGATTTCCTATCTTTTTATCAGTTATGACTTTCTTTTCTTAAAAGTTCATGATCACATTTATAATGGCTTCTTTAAAGTCCTTGTTTGCTAAAATTTCAACATCTTATCATCTCAGAATACATTGCATTTTCCTGGTTCCTCACATTTCTGGTTACATTTGATTATATATTGGACTTCGTGGTTGATACATTGTTAAGACTTGGGATTATGTCTCTGAAATTGTATATTCTGAAAAGGATTGATTTTTGCTTCAGTGGATAGTTAAATCACTATCTGTTCTCTTGAATTTGTGGAGATTTAGCTTTAAACATTGTTAAGGCAGGTCTATTTGATGTAATCTTGGTCCCTAGGGCAAATCCCTTGGTTTTCGTAGTCCACATATTTCTAAGATATAACCTTCTGGAGTTTCTGGGGAAAGCCTGTGGTTCTCCTCAAGCCCTTCTGACTTAAAGGAACTCAAAATTCAATCTGTATCTTCCCTGTCATAGGCAACAGTTGTAATCCCCTCTTTAGCACGTTTAGCCTTCTAGCCATTACTCTTTGCTAATTTTCCTAGGATCTCTCCCATATATGTGCAGTTTAGGGGTCAGCTAAGGATTTTAGAAAGTTTATACACAGATTTTGGGGCTCACTCCTCTGTGGCATCCTCCTTCTTGTGTTTCCCTTTTCAATTTCTGGCAACCCTAGCTGATTCAAACTCCATCCTCTGACAAGTTAGTTAATAAGACTGACTTTCTACTTGAGCTCTGTCGACCCCATCCCCGCTGAACTGAAGTGGGTCCTCAATGACTAAGCCTAATAAAGGAGGGCTCTACCCCGTGCAGTTATTATTTTCAAGGGTACCCTGCAGTTTCTGCCTGCTTTGGGTTGCTCTCCAGTCTTTTCTATATATTTTTTTCAATTTGATCCTGAATTTTTAATTTTTATTCTGATAGGGCTAGTCCAATAAAAGCTAGTACATCATTGCTAGAATTGGAATAATTTCTCAAATGCTTTAAAGTACTCAGAAGGCTAGAGGATCTAACCTAAATTGTTTGTAAGGAATGGAGAAGAGTAGAAATAAAAGGTTTCTTAAGGCAGTGGTAGGGAAAATAATAAAGCTATTTCTATATTCTATAAAATCCTAATGAATTTGGTCTATTTAATACATAAGTTACATATAGAATTGTATTGGAAAGCATTAATATCGTTATTTTTAATACAAAATGGGCAATCGTCAGTCCTCTTCCTTCTTATTAAAACCGTGCCCCTTCATCTTCTATTCTTTTAAAAGTCACAAATTCAGTGTTCCACCTTTATCTTTCTAAGGGCTGTTTCCTGATCTGAACCCAGATTAGCAATTACGTTAAAATTAGTGTAAAGAAAAGGCATTATACAAATTTATTCTATATAGATAGTGGTTAAAATCCTTAATGAGTTATTATGCTAATAAACTACACTTGCTAGATGCAAATTAAACATAAAAAGCATTCAAATTAGTATGTTGATGTTGTTTTTAATTTGTTTTATGTGCTTACACTAGTTAGTTTAATTTTGGAGACTTACTTTTTCACCTATAAAAATGAGGAGTCCAAGTATGTTAATGGTAAGATCACTTCCAAATACTATGTTTTGAAAATATAAGTTTATCGTATAGCAATCATACACAAGAAATAGAATGTTCTTCATAAACAATCAATTTCAATGTACTATTTGCATGTAAGAGCATGTCATTATTGTATGATAATTTATAGTTTAGAGGGAGTCCTTTTGCAAATAAAAAATTGAGGCTTAAAGAAGCAGACATATGATTTTTAGACAGAAAAAATATAAAATTATTCATTGGAACTAGGTTTTTATTTTGTTCAACCGGATATTTAGTCACTCTGACTAGGCTTCAGGAAAACTATTAAGCAGGTGGAGGAGAAGAAACCTACAAAAAAGACTTAGTTGGAGTAGATAGAGAGATTAAAAGAAAATTGAGAAAATGGGTTGTCATGAATGCCAACAGAAAATAACATTTCAAGAAGGAAAGAGCAGTCAACATTAGAAAATGACTATCAAGTTAAGGGTACACAACATTCCCTTAACTGTATTCTGACTGTTATCAGTAGAGATGTAAGTTATAATTTTTAACAATTACAAATGTTAATTCAATTACATAATGATACTTTAATAAAATACCATAAAATAATTTAGCTTTCCAAGAAAATTCATCATATTCAAACTTTATGAGGTGTATTTACCCCTATAAACCAAAATTACACCGTTGAAATGGCATAAAAATGTTATGATGGAGCTCCAGAAAAGCAAGCTTATTATTGTTATTATATCTTCTGATAATATACATACTTTTGTGAATCTAAGTATATTTTAAATAAATGTTGCCACTAAATATCTCTGTACAAGACAGTAAGAATTTTAAAATTAACAGGATTAACTCGTGTGCCTTTCTAAGGGGCTACCAAACTTAAAAGAATGTTTCACATAGTGCAATTATATATATCATAATGATTATGCACGTACCATCACATTAAAGAAGAGTCAAAGAAGAAATGTTGGAAAGTGAGCTCTGAATTCATATGATTATTCCACAGTGATTAGATCTCATGTTAGAGAGCTTTCTCATTAAAACCAGAAGTCAGTGGTCCAGTACATACATACTTTTAAGAGAGGAAAATGCAGTCAGAGAGAGAGAGAAAATGATTGATATGATGTACATATGGAGTCTATTTAAAAACTAATAATATAGTAAAGTCTCCTCAAGTCCTTCTCTGCCTCACTACTCTTATAATTTTCTGCAATTAATGTGTTCTTAAAATTTATGAAAACACAAATCTGGCCAAAAGATATGAAACAGATAAATGAGAGATATCTTCTGCCTAGTACAGGAGAAATATTTAAGGGTGAGTTAATGTAACTGAGAAATTATTTTCTCCTAGTTTAGAAGGGAAGAGAGGCCCACAGAGAACTTTCAATAAGAAATAAAAAGTATATCAAGTTTAGGATAGAAGTACCAAAAAAATTAAAAACAAAGATAACTCTGAATTAGATACAGTTGGATGTTTGATGATATAGTTTCTTCTTTGGCTGGCTTTCAAGTCAGAAGCTTTTAAAGTGGAGTATTTAGGGGTATTAGAAGACTTTCCAAGGGCAAGCCAGTATATTCAGCACAGAAAAATTTCAAGGTGTTGAGTGACATTTTGAAATAGAAACTAAAAACTTCCTTTTTCATATATTAATTTGTTTGGAAAAGATTTCTATAAAGTAAAAAAATACAGAAATTAAATCTTAATGCTAAACTCTACCTCATTTAAACCATAATTAGTACTGACCCATGGATATCTAAATTATTTTTTTAAAAGGCTCTATCCATAACATTGTAAGCTGCATTTGTAGTAAAACTTCATTTTTATAGACACTGAATCCATAGATCGTATACTAATTGAATCATGACTCAATTCAGAAAAAAAGATTTTATACCTAAAACTTTATAGTCACTGGTTATTTAAAAAGGATTGTAATTTTAATTTGTATGCATATTTTTGATGCAAAAATACTTTGGTGATCAAGAAAAGACTTTCAAACACACATTTCTATTGTACTTGAATTACAATTGTGTGAGGGTGGGGCGGAATATAAATATAGTTCAAGCATAAAATAAAATGATATAAATATTCTACCTATTAAAGCATGAGGTCAAATCACTATGATATTTAGATTCTAACAGATATATTTTTAAAAGTGACTTGACAATATTATTTTAAGTTATCAATATTTACAACACAATATACATATGTCAGTGCCGACGCCCACTCAGGAAAATGAAAACCATTCCTAAAATTTTGAAAAGAGGAGAATTTAATATTGTGGGTTGATCACAAAGGCGCTAGAAGGAATCAAAGAGCAAAGGATGAACAGAGTAGGACATTGGAAAAGCAAAAAGAAAAAGTAAAACACAGATATCAAGTGTTACTGATGTGTCAGTTGATTGTATCTGCCAGACGTATGCCCCTTGATCAGACCTGGAATTGCCAAAAAGTTGCTGCCCGTGCCCTAGCTGCTGGGATCAAGAATCGCCTACTGCCACTGCTGCTGCAGCCACTGAAATAACCATTTAAAGCAGACGGCTCTTCTCTTTCTTTTTCTGTCTGATATCTTCAGTGGTTTCCCTCAGGTGGAAATTATGGAGAAGCCAGATGGCAAAGGAGCCTGGGAAATCTGGTTTGCAGATTCCCATCCCTATAAGGCTCACAGTATATAGCAGAGTAGAAAATGGTATGTATAGGTTTAAGAGAAAACAGGTAATGATCAGTACTGTCTGCAAATTGCGCCCTTTACAATTTTCTAAATGATTGCAAAATTAATATGTCAATTATAAATGTAGAAAGATACATACTTAAAAAATTCCTTTGGGGTTTATATGAAGAAAAAAGCTTGATGGTTATTACAATGGAAGATTTATTTTATATAAAGAACATGACTGGTCGTTTTGGATTTAAAAATAATCTGTTCCTTCAGCCTAATTTTACCTGAGCGTTTCCACCACCTGGAAATTAAATCTCTTCATGCTAACTGATTATCAAATGCTAAATTATATGACAAGAATTTTACTCCCCAAGGAAAATAGATCCAACAATGGAAGAAAGCCAGAACCCAGGAAAATGGAAAAAAAGGAGGAATAAGTGGACTAAATTATAAATCTGTAAAATTAGGATAAAGTACTATACTTAGCATGTAAGTATTAATAGTGATGTTTCCATGTTAAAATATAGCACCATTGAGAGTCCTATCTCTCAATTTCTAAACTTCTAGTATAACACTAGGCTTTTCTTGTCACTGTGCCCACCCACGTGGTTTCATGAGAGTAAAGAATGTTTTTGAAAGTAGACATATAATATTGGAGTATAATAAGATACTATTTAGTAATTATAATGCCAATAATGTCATTTTCTGAGAAAGAAAATGCTCCCAAGACTAAACAGAGTAAATCAGCTGCTTGGGACTACACAGCTTTCCTAATTTTTATGGTTGACACAAAGTTTGGCAATTCTTTAGTTTTACTAGGTAAATGAATTCCTATGATGGGTATTTTAGTTCATCAATGCATTAACAATAGAAAGCATATATTTACCGGGAGGCTTTATAAATATTTTATTTTATTATTTTATTTATTTATTTAGAGATGGAGTCCCACTCTGTTGCCCAGGCTGGAGTTCAGTGGCGCAATCTCGGCTTGCTGCAACCTCCGCCTCCTGGGTTCAAGCGACTCTCCTGCCTCAGCCTCCCAAGTAGCTGTGATTACACGCACCCACCACCATACCCGGCTAATTTTTGTATTTTTAGTAGAGACAGAGTTTCGCCATGTTGGCCAGGATGGTCCTGAACTCCTGACCTCAGGTGATCTGCCCGCCTCAGCATCCTAAACTGCTAGAATTACTGGCATGAGCCACTGCGCCCTGCCTATAAATATTTCAAAACATATGCCACTTAACATGTGTTAATCACATGCCATGGTCAAAGTGCTATGGAGGGATGCAAGTGTGAATAAGACATAGACATTGATCATGAAAACATTTTGTTGATGGTCTCTATGTGCTATGCACTGTGCTAGGCACTGGAGATACAAAGATAAATAAAACATGGTTCTTGCCCTTGAAGAGATCTTGTCTTAATGAGAAACACAGAGGTTAAACTAGACACTTATAATACAATGCACTAGGTGCAATGATAGAGAAGCACTAAGAAAGCAACAAGGAAGGTAGAGTAAAGGTAAATTTCCTGAAGGAGGAGAAATATAGCCTGATGACAAAATAACAGGTAGTAATTATCTAGGTAAAGAGGGATTGGCAGAAAGTGAAGGACGTCTACTGACAGACACAAGAGTAGAAGTAAAGGTAGAAAGGTTAGAAACAGCATGGAAAGCAGGCCAAAATTTATGAGAATTTTGCAGCTCTCCAAGCAAAAAGTGATGAGAATCTATCCTACCATACTAATGTTGTGAAGAGAATGAAAGACAGGAAATCAGAGATAAAAAGGAGGTAGGATAAACAGAATTTATTGGCTAAAGTGAGGAGAAGGGAGAAGTCTGGAATAATTCATCAGTTCATAGTACAAATACATAAAAGGGTGGTTGTGTAACTAATTGGGACAGAGATTGCTGAAAAAGATTTAGAGGAGGAGGACAGTTTAGAATAGGGTGAGTTGGATATGTAGCATTCTGAAGCTCACTGTGAAAGTGCCATAGGAGGTATACATTTGGGAGTCAGCAACCTGTGGGTGGTAGTTGAAATCATGAAAGTACATCAGATTGCCAAAAAGAACACATGGAGTAAGAGGATCACTGGGCTAATCTTAGGATGAAACCCAGAGAAAGCTGTCACTTAAGAATTGACAAAATAAGAAGAATTTATGAAAAAAAATAAGAAAGTTTCAAAAAATAAGCTATGACTAGCAATGTCAGAACTATTTGAGATGTTGATGATAAGAACTGCCAAATGTTCACTAGATTGGCCATTTGGGAGTTGTTGGTTACCCAAGCCAGAACTCTTTTGGTAGCATAGTGGGAGAAAAAGCCAGACTGCAAAAGATGATGGAAAAACTTGGATGTGAAAAGGTGAAAATGACATGCATATGTATTATTTTTTCAGAAATTTTAGATGGAGAGGGGAAGAAAGAGATAATAATTGGAAGGGTCATTGGTTTTGGTAGAGTTTTTGTTTGTTTTTAAGTTAAAACAGAGACTTGAGTAAAATTATAAGCTAAGGAAGAAAAAGAAAGAAGGAAAATGTAATATAAGAAAGTCAGTTAATATGTGAAGGATAAATATCCTGGAACAGATTCAACTCCATCAAAAATGATTAAACTGAAAATTGATTTTAATGAGGTAAAGATGTTACTTTGATACTGAATATAATATAATGAGAATGTGTATGTTAATAATAGATAGGCAAGAGAATGGAAAATTGACAAAGATACTTTCTTATTCCTTCAAATTTATTGATAAAAATTGGAGATTACGTATGTTGACAGTGATGGGGACATGTATTATGTAACAGTCTACAGGAGAGTGGTGAAGATTGAAATAGACATTGAGGAAAGGGAAAGTGACTGCTAAATCAGAACAGATAAAAGAATAGATCAGTGGCACTAAAGACTGAGTGGAGGTTTATATGAAACTGACACTTTTTTATTGCTGCTAGTTTACACAACAGTGTGACTTTCTTCAGCTGAGATTGAGTGCCCAAGTCTAGGAGCAGAGATGAAAATGTTCATATCAAGGTTGAGACATGGTGGATAAACTTGGTAAGGGAATTAAATGAGATGAAAGAAGAGCTAAAATGATTAAGGAAGCATAGCCATGATCAGAGACATAAACTTGGATAAAATTTTGGAAATGTTAATTAGAAGATCAAATGAAGTTGAAAAACAGGTGAAGTATGAGTGAAGAAATGAAAGAGTAGGTTAGAAAGACATAACCAGAGACTGAAATACGAAAGTTCTAGAATTTGACCTTGAGGTTCATGGCAGAGTGTTAGAGAAAACAAAAGAAATGAGTTTAAAATAGCTCAAAATGGAGTGAGGGAGGGAGGGATGAATAGATGAAGCATAGGGGATTTTCAGGGCAATAAAACTATTTTGGATGATACTCTAATGATGGATACACTGCTGACATTATACACTTGTCAAAACCCATAGAAAGAATGAACTCTAATGTAAACTGTACACCCTAGTTAATAATCATGTATTGATATTGGTTCATTGGCCAGGCAAGGTGGCTCATGCCTGTAATCCCAACACTTTGGGAGGCCAAGATGGGAGGATCCCTTGAGGCCAGGAGTTTGACACCAATCTGAGCAACATAGAGAGACCTCCACCTCTAAAAAAATAAACATTAAAAAAAATTAGCTAGACATGGTGGTGCATGGCTCTAGTCCGAGCTGTTGAGGAGGCTGAGGTGGGAGGATCCCTTTAGCTCAAGAGTTTGAGGCTGCAGTGAGCTGTGATAGCACCACCGCACTCTAGCCTGGATGACAGAGTGAGATCCGTCTCCAATAATGATTGTAAGGTTCATTAACTGTAACAAATGTACCTCACCAATGCAACATAGTAATAATAGGGTAAATTATTCACACTTTCTGCTCAATTTTTCTGAAAACCTAAAACTGCTTTAGAAAATAATATCTATCTGAATCATGACCCAAAATGATTGTTGTAAGGAATATCTACATTGATTCTGAAATATATTAGGAGGTTGGTCAGTTTTTGTGTGAAGAGAAACATTTAGCCAGGTCTCAAAGTTTTCAGAGAAGGAGAAGAAGATGCTATTGTGAGGTTTGTCTGGTGGAGGTGATGAGACCTCAGAAAGCACATGTAATTGACAACATAAAACAAAACAAAACAAGAATGGAGATAGCATGAATAGAGTCTCATTAATAAATAACAAAAAACAGGTTCCTTGAGTATCTAAGAAAGGCAAAATTCCATGGCCCCTAATAAATAGTGAAAATGATGGAAGAGAATTCCCACGCCATGTCAGCTCAAAACAAGTATATTTTTTGCCCAAGCCATGCTCAAGCTCTTGCTCTTTTTCTATGCCTCCTGTGCTCATCCCCACTCCTATTGTCTAGGATCCCGCACACTGGGTTATTGATGTAGCTAGTCATGACACTTGGCTGATGGAGTTCATTTCAATACCCTAGTAGCTAATGTCAATAGAACTTTCATTGATTTTCCAGTGTCCTTTAATTCGTTAGGTATTGACCTTTTATTTAAATCCCACATGACCATTCCAAACATTTTCCACACTTTTCAAGCCTCAATTTCTAGTCCCTTCATTTTTTACACCCTCGTCATGTTCAGTTGTTAAACTCTATGGTTTACTGCAAAAGCTGTGAGAATCTAGCGTAAGTCCCTTGTGTTCTTGATATTCAACCTCAAAATCCTTCCATGATTCTCTCATCTTTAGTGACATCAAAGGCATTAGTTATGGATACTGTTGACACATTTAATACCCATGTGAGCCTAAAAGAGTTTTGAATCCTCTCTGAGTCACAATGTCCACATCAGTGGAATGAAGCTATTGTGAAGATGAACCAAGAAAATGAATTCAAGAATGTGTTGCAGGAAAAACAAATAGATCTTGTTGTATTTGTTGACTCGGATAGATTGGTAAAACTTCCTCAGGTTCTGTGTTTTAAAAATGTAACAGATCCAACACATATTTGGAAGGTAGTCTGATAGGATTTGCTGTGGGGAAGTGAGAGAAAGACCAAAGCCGAGAATAATGGTTTCCAGCTTCATCCATGTCCCTAAGGAGATATACCTAATGTAAATGTCGAGTTAATGGTTGCAGCACACCAACATGGCACATGTATACATATGTAACAAACCTGCACATTGTGCACATGTACCCTAGAACTTAAAGTATAATAAAAATATATAAAAAAAATTTAAAAAAGACCAAAGCCAACAATCTCTTCTAAACTCATCCCTTTTTAATTTTGTCTTTTCAGCCACAGCAGCAGAAAACAAAAACAAAAACAAAAAAAAACAGCCTTTATTTCCATTTTCCCCAGCTCCACTCACTATCTTGTTCCTAGCCACAATTATCTCTTCTCTGGATTGTAGCCGTAGAGGTCCAATTACTCTCCCTTTCCACTCTTGACTGCCTTCAATATATTTTAACACAGCAGCCAGAGTGATCCAGTCATTTTCCTGCTAGAAGACTTTTGATGGGTTTCCATCCCACTCAGAGTAAAAACTGTCCTTAAAATTGTCTACATAATCTGCCCAATCAATTCCCTTTGTGATCTCTTTATCTCTCCCTCTGTCACCATGCTCCAAGCTTATGGTACCCCTTGTACTTCCTTATACTCATTGAACTTGGCCTTTTCAATTTCTGTCTCTCCTATCTGCCTAAAATGATATTTCTCTGTCCACCTCATTTTTTTTTCAGCATTTGCTTAAAGCTTATTAGAGAGGACTGCCATTGCCACCCTCTTCAAAAGAACAACTTCCATCCTTTGTACTACCTATCTCTCTTATTCTGTTTTATTGTTTTTTATAACACTTACAATTATTTTATTATGTACTGACTTGTTCATTTGTCTTCCTCTGGTAAAATGTAAGCTGAAGTTGGTCTGAGATTTCATATATTTGGTTTACTACTGAAGCCTCAATATCTAGAAAATATTTGTACATAAAAGAATGAATGGTGGCCACATGGCATACATTAGGTAATAACACTCCCCTAATTAATAACCATTCAATGGGATCTCATTGCTCTTTAATAAAATCAATTAACCTACTATAGCCTACTAAATTTGGACTTTATATAAAATGTTTTTATCTTTGTTGAAAGACTACACTTTGAGCTTTTGTTCCTATTATTTTAAATATTTTGTCCATTAATTAAACAGCTTGTTATATTCAGCTACTCTCACTTTACTTCAAGTTAATTGAGAATGGTACCATTTATTGGCACAGAAGAAATGAATGAAGGAAATATTTGGCCAGGAGTTGCAGAATGCGGAATCAAAACTACTATTTTAGAAATCAGTAATAATACCCAGATGCTATTCTAAAGCTTTACAGGTATTGACTCCTTACATGCTCTTACTAATTTGATGAAATAGATAGTTAATATGCCCATTATGTAGATTTAAGACATCAAGGCTTAGAGAATTTAAATACCTTGCTCAAGGTCACATAGCCAATAACTGGAAGAACCAGGATATTAGCTTAAATTGTTTGATTCCATTCTCTTAACAACTATGGATATACCTCTTTGGAGCTATCCAAATGGAAAATGAAATAAGTAATCTGATATATGAGTCTGGAGTTCGGGTAAGGATATGGAATGGACACATGCATTTGAGGCCAGTCTGCATATAGATGAAGTTTAAATTGCCCCTCTACCTTTCTTTATCCCTACTTCTCTTTTATTTTCAGTCTCTTTCAAATTCTTTGCTCCTTCCCCATTTCTTAAAAAAGGTATTCTCTATCTTGAAAATAACCTGCTCATGTATTCTAAGCTAAATTAATTAGGTGTCTTTGGTTGCAAATGACAATCCAATTGAAGTGAAAAGATAATTTAATTCTCACAAAACTGGCCTATTCAGGGATGAGATCCAGGCTCCTTTCATCAGGCTTTGGTATCGCTTGCTCCATCTCTCAGCTGTGATTTTTTTGTGTGTGTGTTGCCCCAGTTCTCAGGCAGGCTCTCCTCTCTTGGCAGTAAAGTGACTTTTAGTAGCTCTTAGGCTTAGATTTCATCCTCTTATCTATCCCAACATAAACATAGATTCTCTTTTACCTGCAGTTCCAATACAGAGCCTCAGCTTTAACATTCACTGGCTCTGACTATGAAGTATTGTGTTCAAGAGGAGGCAGTGTTCTCAATGCCAGGCCTACACCACTTGCCCAGGTGGAGCACTGAGAGTAGGGGTAGCTACACGCAAAACACCTAGAGCAAGCCTCGGGGAGTAGTGAATCCCAAGGAAAAGTAGGATGCTGTTATCAGAGGAAGGGGAAGTAGATACCAAACAGGAAAAACAAAAGATATCCTTCAGGGGCTTAAAAACAATAGAATAAGTTACAGGAAACTATCAATAGTTACATGTACACAAAAATTTAAATCGACAGTAATACAAAATCATAATGAACTAAATTAAACTACAAACAAAATGCTAGAAAATATTTGTAAAAGTGTAATGGTGACTTGTTTGTGTCACCGCTTCACTGCTACATGAAGTAAAAATCAACAAGAAAATACTAAGACCCCACTGGATAGATATAAAAGATATGAACTTAGAGTTTCAAAAGGAGAAACTAGTAGGCAGTATAAATCCGAAAGCAAATATATTGCAATGGAGAAGGGCAGTTAATCATTTTTTAGAAAGTTAAGTTTATGAAATATGATTGATATATATTTTATTTTACAAAATAATGTAAATGTGTTATATATGCTTGGAATTATTTTATATGTTGTATTTCATAATAAAGTAGAACATCACCAGAATTTGATGACATACTTGTCATCAATAATAGATTTGACAACACTGCAATTAACACAAAACCCACAAGGAATTTAAAAGCATAGCTTGAAACTGACCAAATAACAACTATACTAGCACTGATATAGAGCTTACTTATTCCTGACACAGTCTCACATACTATGTATTTATTACCTCTCAGTACTCACAATGATAAGTACTACTATTATCTCAATGTTGTAGATGATGAAACAGAGAGAGGTGAAGTAACTTGCCCATAGTCACATAGCCAAGTTGTAGAGAATTAATTATTCAAATTCAGGAAGTTTGGCTCCAGCATCCAAGTGCTTAACTCCTTTACCAGTTTCCAGAGAAAAACAGTTTTGTCTGCAAAGCATTTAAATAAACCCAGTTACATGTCAGTGAGAAAAACAATACTCAAACAGTTCAGAGCTGTTTTTTTTTAAACCTGCATATTTGAAGAAGGTTCAGATAGGAGTTCAGACAGAGTATGAGTAGAAGACAAAACATAAGATTACATAGAGAAAGATTTGGGGTGAGATGTAAAAGATTTGCATTTCTAAACTTCTCGAAATTCACACTTCTTTCTCAAACACCTGTGTCTTCTTTCCATAAAAAATTAAAACTTTTAGAAAGGACTGCAATATACTGTACAGTCTATATCTCACTTCCCTCTTGCATTTAATCACACTCCATTTAGATGACATTCAGCTTTAATCTGCCTAGACTGCCTGTACTCACTTCATTTCTCAACCCTAGCTAAACTTGCACTTTGTCCCATAAGGCTTTCAAACTACTCCCATCTCTTAGTAATCTCGTCCTCTGAGAACACCTATTCCACTTCTTTTCAAATTACCTTTGTGTAATGTTACACATCTATCTATATATATCTACATCTATATCTATAAATGGGCATATATACAATCTCAGGAAGAGAGAACGAGAGAGATGGAGGGAGAGAGAGACCTTCTTTTTGCATAGTCCCTGTTTTGGAAATCAGAAGACTAAGGTTATGTTTACTTTGTATGCCAAGCACACAGCAGAATGCCCTAAATTCATCCATTTATCTGCACATGTTTTTGAATGCATGTTGTATTCTGGGCACTGTGCCTGGCATCATAGATACAAAGGAGTGGAAGATACTTTTCCTCGGCCTTCAAAGATCTCTAAGTGCACACGAAAAACAAATGTGTAGATAAATAATTAAAACACAGTGTGAAAAATGCCATAGGGTAATACATACAGGGTGCCATGGCAACCCAGGGGCCGAATGGCAGCTTCTGCCTGGGGAGTTGAAAAGATTTCACAGAAGAGGAGAAATTTAAGCTAGGTCTTCAGATGAGTAGGAGTATAAGAGGCAACAATAGGGATAATTATAAAAGCATGTTTGCCTTGATAAATAGTTTGCACTTTATCATTTAGCCAGTACAAATTATAAAAGAGTTTTACAAAAGAGAAAAATGTGATTTAACTTACGTTTAAGAAAGATAGCTGAGGTAGGCCTGAGAATGCATTGGAGTGAGGAAGAGAAAAAAACAAATGGCTTTTTCAACAATCTAGGGAGGAATAATGGAATGTCTACATTAAAACAACAGTAACAGGAGACTAACAAAAAGAATGAGTCTGAGGAAAGTTAATATTCTTTATTTTATTTTATTATTATTATACTTTAAGTTTTAGGGTACATGTGCACAATGTGCAAGTTTGTTACATATGTATACATGTGCCATGTTGGTGTGCTGCACCCATTAACTTGTCATTTAGCATTAGGTATATCTCCTAATGCTATCCCTCCCCCCATCCCCCACCCCACAATAGTCCCCGGAGTGTGATGTTCCCCTTCCCGTGTCCATGTGTTCTCATTGTTCAATTCCCACCTATGAGTGAGAATATGCGGTGTTTGGTTTTTTGTCCTTGTGATAGTTTGCTGAGAATGATGGTTTCCACTTTCATTCATGTCCCTACAAAGGACATGAATTCATCATTTTTTATGGCTGCATAGTATTCCATGGTGTATATGTGCCACATTTTCTTAATCCAGTCTATCGTTGTTGGACATTTGGGTTGGTTCCAAGTCTTTGCTATTGTGAAGAGTGCAGCTATAAACATATGTGTGCATGTGTCTTTATAGCAGCATGATTTACAATCCTTTGGGTATATACCCAGTAATGTGATGGCTGGGTCAAATGGTATTTCTAGTTCTAGATCCCTGAGGAATCGCCACACTGACTTCCACATTCTATGGCATAATAATAGAAATTGATAACTTGGAGGAGAAAAGAAGGAAGGGTTGAGACTTGGTGAGAAATTTAGCAGAGGAAAATGAGCAGATGGACACTCCACAACAAAAATAGGGGATGCAGAAGGAAAAGCAGATTGGAAAAGGGCAACAGGGACACAGAATTTGGCTATAGGCATTTTGATTTTGTGGTACCTGAGGAACATTCTCATGGAATTGTCTAGGAACAATTAGTCAGTGAGCATCTGGAACCCAAGTGAATAATGTTGAGAATTTCTAAAAGTTTAGGAAACATAGGTATTTCCATCACTTCCATTATAAAAACTTCATTGGGAATGTTGGATTAATAGGAAGATCATGCACAGAATGATTATTTAAGGTCCTAAATTGTTCCACCTGAGCATGGGTAAGGAGAACAGGTGTTAATTATTTTTGCTGCGAGGGGAAATAATTTAAAAACTAGAGGGAGGAGAGGGTTAACTTTGGGAAGAGAGTTCAGAGAACCTGAGAATGTGATGAGTTGTCCCCTTTTCCACCCACACTGGAGAGGGGCATGCCAGGGGCAGTTGGGAAGGATCAGGCATTCTTCCCATAAAGTCGAGCCTATCTCTCTATGCCAGCAGAACATGCTGCAGGGAGGCACAATTCCCACCATTCTGACCCACCATTTCCTAGGTAGTCAAACTTAGGGTGGCAAGAACACCTAAGATTCCCACAGTCTAGAGAAGGAGGAAGAGCTGGCAAGGACAAAGACCAGAGGAAATGGCCTCCTTGTGCAGGGAGAGCCCACCACCCACTGGGATCAGGAGAAGGTCCTGTTATGAGGAGCAACGCTTGTGAATGAAGAAGGGTTCTCAGCTGGGTGCCTGAAAGCCATCAAAAATGTTCCATGATCACACAAAAGAGTCTTACATATTTTCATTACTGCAAACCAGCCTTGAAAATATATGTATGGGCCAAGAAAACTTTGCCCACCGAAGAAGAACCTCCCTGCTACAACACACCTGCCAGTGACTGCCCAGTGATAAATGCTTGCAGGCCTTGTGAAATGAGGAGATAGCTTTGCAAAGGGGACCAGAGTAAAATACGTAAAAAGAAGGGAAGCCCTTATAGAGACTTTAAATTGGACAGTGGCTAAGACTTTCATTCTTACATGAGATTAAACAAGTAATAATAGACAGATTGAGTTTCCCAGAGTATGTCAGCTGTACACAGGCAGGAAGTTAAAAAAAATACATGTGGTCATAAGAATACATGTTTGCACGTCTGAATGGTAAGTGTTCAAAATCCACTGGATATGCATATAGGATGAAACTAAAATATAGATATGGGAGATCATACAACCTGTTTGTATATAAGTACAAGAGGAAAACATGGCCAAAAATATTTGTTGTTGATAAGGAAGGATTTTAACACTAATGAAGGAAAAGGATAACGAGAGATCTGTGAAAGGAAATAAATTATGTAGATGCAAATGACTTAGTGAATGGCTGTAGGAGCAATTTTCTAAATTTGCAGGTGATATTTAATTGGCAGACATTGCAAACAGCAAGGAGCAATTCAATCAGATAAAGAACTTGAATCATTAAGTACTTGGCCTAATAGATGGCAAGCGCAGATAAGTGGTGAATAATAAGTCTTGAATCAAAACTAAAGAACAGAGAGTGAACATTTGCCAAAGGGAATGATACCATCCAGGAATGGCTCTTAGATTTAAGGAGAACTTATAGACAAGGACAAACAAAACTTCAGTAAAATATTACAAATAAAAAGATTTGGTGGGTTACAGCTTATCCAGCTGAAGCTGTGATGAGAAAATCTGACAACTTAAGGATAGATAAATCCTGAAATCCACGGTTGGCTATTGAAATTCCATTTGTTACCTAGAATTTCATCTATCCCTGATCATGGTTTGGAGATAAAATTAATGAGTAAGATAACATCCAAGCATATAAGAGGTTACAGATTTGGGTGAGGATACTATAAATAACTTTTAAAGACATTTCGGATATGAAATTCTCTATGTTCTATGGGCATAATTGTGAGGTATTGTGTTTAGATTGCTTGGTCATTTTTATTTAACATGCCAGTTCTAGTCTACGTTAGTCTGGAAATTATAAACATAGAGAAATATGCTACAAGTAAAAGAGAATAATAAAAATTTATTATAGCCTAGAAAGGTAGTTGATGCAATATATAATATATTTCCTCTTTCTCTTTTTTTGCAATGGTGAATACTTTACTAAATGAAAAGGTTAATTTTAATATTAAAGAGAAATGGAAACATCCTTTAGTACAACATTAAAACCACAAATGGAACCTTTAAATATTCACTCACTCTAGCAATCAATGTTCCAACCTCATTTAAAGGATTTTTTTTAACTTGACATACAAATATTCAGAATGAATATTTGGAAGCAGAGCCACGAGCCATACCTTGAAAGATAACTGCGGACTTACTCTTGCCTGCCATTTGGGTACTTCAGATTTCAGTTGTTCTAAGTCTCAATGATCCTGAGTTTTCTTTTTGTAATTTGGTAATTTTGTAATGGCAGGCTTTAAAATAAGTAAAGGTTTTCTTAACTAAGAACAAAAAAAAATCCGGAGACCTAACAAGGCTCAGCTGTGTCCAGGTAGGAGATGACTGCAGTTTGGCTTCAGAGGCTCCCTCTAGCAGTGTGAGGACATCTGAGTGTCTCTCCTACTCATTTTATATTTCATTTGATACTGCACAGAATCACTAGGAGAACAGCCAGAATTGATTTACTTCTCATAGAGACAAACTGTTTCTGGGAGCTAGTTATCTTCTTATTAACAAAGAGCTTACATTCCCCTCCCCTCCAGAGCTCCTAAAACATCTATATAATAGCTACATTAAGTGAATTCTACAATGATTGAAAATTTTACTATAATGAAGATAAAAATTCACTCAATTCTAGTTCTTTTATCCTTGATTTGCATTTGACTGAAATGTGTATTTGCAGTTTGGGCATTTCAGTCAGCGATTGCTCCTGTATTCTTTGCCCATAAGCAGCCTTCAGATGGCCTCTTAGAAAATTGAAGAAGTCTCTACATGACTGGAAAACTCTTTCTGATGGTCTGTTTCTTCAAAGATATAGCATTACCTCTTGGGAATTATAGAAACAATATATATTGTTAAGCCTCTTCTAATGCTACTGTAATTTATAACTGGTAACTTTTTCCCCCACTTAGCATTCAATAAGCATTTATTGGGGCCTAATGTGTAGGTGGAATTTTGGAGAATACATAAAGTATAGAACACAGAGTTCTTGTTCTTCAAGAGCTAAGCAGCTCTATAGAGAAGAGAGAGACAGAACGACAGAGACAGAGACAGAGAGAGAGAGAGAAGAGATCAACACATATCCACCACTTGCTTTACTATCTATACTTCAACTTTTGGTGGACTCATCCCATCTTATGGATTCAATTATCATCTATAAGTAGACCACTTCCCCAATTGTTTCTTTAACCCAGACCTCTCACCTGAACTACAGGCTTTTATTCCTCACAATGCCTTCAGCATTTTCCATTTCTAATGGGTACCTCAAACATTAAGTGTTCAAAACTGAATTTCTGATTTCACCCCTTTCCCCCATCCTTGTCTGTTGTAGTGTATGGCAACTCCAATTTTCAAGTTACTCAGTGCAAAACCTTTGAGTTGTCCTTGAATTCTCTTCTCTCTGTCACGCCTTATATACAATGCATCAGCAAATTTGTCTGGCTGTAAATCTGAAATATACCATAAATATAAATACGATCACTTCTCACCACTCGAAAGCCACTATTTTTCTCTCTTTAGGACTATTTCAATGGCCCTTTAACTGCTCACCAAGCTACTGCTCTTTTTCCTATTTCTGTTAAAAAATCTATTTTTAACAGAGCAGCCAAAGTGATTGTTTTAAAATGTCAGATCGTATTACACTCTCCCTATAACCCTCCAATAGTTTTCCTTCAACTCTAATTTACATAATTCCCTATAATGCCTTATATGTTCAATTATATACATATACACTTACCACCATCTCTGTGAAATCTCTTTCTCCTACTTCCCTAGTATGAGTATTGCTTAGGTATAAATCAGAACTCAGAAAAATAAGAGTAAGAATTAAAAAGGACATATGTGCTGAAAAAAATAGAGCAATGAATAAATACTGGGGAAGTAATTAGAAGGAAGAGATTATACAGAAACCATAAGGCAAAAAGTTAATCAAATTTATCAAGCATATTATAGGGGACATGGCCAACTCCACAATTTGTTCACCTATAATCTCAGGCAAGCTATTTACCTTGTCTGAGTCTTAGATTTGGCCTCAGCGAAAGGAAAGTGGTGATACATCATGAGCAGGGTTGCAGCACAGCTGGCATAAATGGAGGTTTATCCCACACATGTGGGCTGAAAATATTAGAATCCAAGCTACCAAGGTCAGAGTGCCTGGCTAAGAGCTTCATATGGAAAAAAAACCTTTAAGTCAATGACAAAATGGGAGAGACTTTTTTTTTTCAGGCAGTATATAGCCAAGAATCTATTCCTTGAATGCTGGAATTGAAGGTTATATAAAAGCACTTATTACTACCAAATTGCAAAGAACAAGCAGAGCAAGTAAGTTGAGAGAGAGAGAGAGACATCTTTCTTGGAGAACATTTTTGGAAAATGACTGTGGGCAAAGCAATGTGAAAATATTTAGGGAGACAGAAGACTACGAAGATAAAATACCTATATCAAGAAGTTTATATTGAAATTGAGAATATAAAACAGATATTATGGGATAAGTCCCATAGGAGAGATACAGAAAAACAGAGAAATGAAGGATAACTGTAAACTCTAGGGAGGCAATGTCACAAACTCAGGTGAAAATACATTAGAAAAGGAAAACTAGGTATTTTTCAGTATATATAATCAGGCTGGAAGATAAAAGCTGGTTCAGAGACTAGTGAAAACAAATCAGGCTGGAAGATAAAAGCTGGTTCAGAGACTAGTGAAAACTAAATTGTTCCTATAAGGACTTTAAAAGGAGATCAGCATGTGAGTAGACTTGGAGGCCTGCTAAAGAGGGAGCTAGGAGAAGGAATAGCACGTGGTTTCTGAGAAACAGTGTAGCAATAAGGCTTATCACACATAAACTAAACTAATCATGATGTTTTTGTCACTATTGTGCTGTCAGAGAAAAAAATCTATTGAAATAATGAAACATACTAATTTTGAGAAACATCAGTGTGGCAAAACCCAAGAAACACTTTTCAAATGAATATACTCAAATTGCAAGATCAAACATCTATTAATTATAATAGGTAAGAAAAAGGAAACATTCAAAAAAGTCCTTCAAAGCGAAAATATGTAAATTAGAGTACCTTCATAATCAATAAACACTTATTGAGCATCTATTCATGTGCTATCAATGTGTTAAAAATACAAAAGTGACAAAAATAATTATTGCTCAAAATTCTGTGCAGTATTTAGAAAGATTGGGTAGGGATAAACATGTATTTCTCTAAGATTACATTACATTATGATAAGGTTTATGGAAAAAATGTACATACCTATGTATATGTAAAAATAGAAAAGAGTCTAAAAGAACTTTTTCAATCTCAAAACAGTGTTTACATATGAGGAAATGTAGCGATGACTGTTCATTGTTTATAAATATCTGTTCTCTCCTTTCTTAGTAATACAGCTCCTGAATCATAATAGCCAGATACAGACTTCCCACAATATGAATTTCCCAGTTTCTCTCCTTAGCTAGTGTGGTCATGTGACTAAATTGTAGCCAATGATATTTAAGCAGAAATATCATGTGATGCCTCTGAGAAATGTTCTTAAAGGAAGGATTTTTATTCTTATTCTTATCTTCCTCCTTTCTTCTGGCTGGAATGTTAATAGGATGACTTGTGTTCAAGCAGCCCTCTAAAGACATGAGTTGGAAGCTATGTACTGAGGAGCACAGAGCAACAAGAGAAAATAAGTAAAATAAGTTTGGTTCTTAGCTCTGGAAGCGTGATAAACCTGGGATAGTCAGCCAGGGAACTTCTTTCATGTTGATTTTTAAGCCAGTGATATTTTGGGCATTTCTTTTACCTGCAGGAAGAAAATAGGCTGATTTTATGTAATTTGACCCTTTAAAAACTAGAATATATTCATACATAGTTTTTACAGTTCAGTGTTTAAACTTATTTATTTTTCATCTTAGTTTTGCTTCCCTATGTTTTGTAAATGGTAAACTTATTAGCCATTCTGTGGTATATAAAAGTTTCACTTTTATGTTTTGTTTTTATATTGGCCCAACTTCCATGTTCAGCTAAATACACTAACATAATTTAAATTACTGCATTTCATTGGGAATCCAAGTTAGAAAATTCCTTTTCCCACATTTTTAATACCTAAAACTTGGGAAATGAATAACATTATAAGTACTTGAAAATAATATTCACTGATTTATCATGTGTAAGCCCTGTCGAAATATTTATTTTCTACTGAGCTTGGAAGATATTTTAAAATGATTCCATTAAAGAAATTTTTAAAATTTTTGAAATATCTATTTACTTAAGATGTTGAAGAAAACATAAGCATCTACCTTTACCTTCCATTTTTTAGATCTCATATGATATGACAAATAAATAGAAAATTAGAGGAAATTTTACAACAGTACTCTAAATTAAGTAAGGGTACCCTCCATGAACCAGGAATTGGCAGATTTCAAAAAAGCACACTCCTAAGAAATTTCTGTTTTTCACGTGACCCTGACAAAATCCATTAATTGTCCTAATTTGGAAGGGTACAAACTGCAGAAAAGAGCAGGGTATTAGCTCAGCAGGAAGCATAATATTTCATTGCCAAGTTGCTGTTGTGACTCAGTAGCAGCACTTCTGTTATCTTCTGCATGGCTCCTCACTCTTCAGCGAGCAAATTAGGACTCATTCACATGGTGATCCAGGGTTCCTGGCACAGCAAGATAGATGGCAAGCCATTGTGCCAGCCCTCCAATGCTCTGTTTGTATCACATTGCTTTTCTCCCATTGATCAAAGCAAGTTCCTGGCTAATCCCAAAGTTAAAGGATAGGGAAATAGACTGCACCAATTGTTGGAAGAGCTGAACAGTACATTGCAAAGGGGCAGGAATACCAGAATAGGAAGAACTTTGTGGCTATCTTATGTAATCTGCCGTGCTGATCAGTTAGACTAATAAACCAAGAGAAGAAATGAAGGATAATAAATTCAAATACCTAATAGAGATCAGGCTGTTAAGGTATAAAAGTAAAGTTGGGTATAGTACCTATGCACACAATGTGCTTGAATTGTGAGAGCTAAAGTGAATTGAAGATCTCATGAACTTTCCAAGGGGGCACTGTCTCTCAAATTCAACAAGTTGCTTGAAACAGACTCCAGCAATTTTCACATGAAATTGTAAGTTTGAATTTCTATGTAGACTCTACTAATTTTGAATTCTGGCTGAAGTATTTTAAAACTGTGGTTGAACATAACCACATCTGTAAGTTACTTATGAATCATGGACCATCAACATGTGAGTTTTGATAGAGAAGACTGAAAGGATAACATTTTACAACTCTATTAAATATAATATAAATAGTACAATTAATATATATTTTATATAAATTTGTGTCCTATAGACACTGAAGACCCATAGGTTAATTACAAAAATTGATAATACATCATGTGCCTCCAACTCCAAAATTTATATACAACATAAGTAATACCTAACAAATTACCAGATTAAAACACAATAAAATTAAGATGAATAACATTTTAAACAAAGACAAAATCTCAAACCACTTGGAAGTAAAAATAGCAAATGAGCAAAAACTCTCATACACTGTTCCTAGAGCAAAGAGGAAATAAAAACTAAAAGTATAGACTATTTAGAAAATAATGATAACAAAAGCACTACATGTAAATTGTTTTTAAAACTTTGCTTACAGAAACGTGTTCATCTTTAAACTCTACTTAATTACTAAATTAAAATAATGAATCAAGCCTTCAACTCAATAAACAAAATATGAAGCCATTAAAGCTTGAGTTAAAATGCATTAAAATCTGTATTTTAGAATTCATAAATCAATAGGGTTAATTGAAGGGAAAAAACAGTTCTTTGAAAAGATATAAAACAAAAACAAGCCTTGGGCATGTCTGGTTTTGGAAAATGAAATGCATAAATAAAAGTATCAAAAACATGTGTACACCACAATTAAGAAAAATTTTCACAAGCATGATGGAACAGTAAGTACAACTTTATCGTAATTATTTGAAAGAAACGTATGGCATGAATTATTATCAAGGAAAACATCCCATCATTAAAATTGACCCAAGAAGAAATAGAAGACAATTAAATATATGTCCAATATGACAAAAAATGTTATTTGTTTACAAACAAATTAATAATGTTATCTCCTGCCTGTTTTCTTAATTTCAGGAAAGAGTAGGCCAAATGATTAAGACATTTCATAAAAGTTACCCAATTAATTCTGAAGAGCTAGAGTAATTCCCAAAAGAATGGCTGAAAATGAAATCACATACAAAAAAAGAAAAAACATTCAATATCACTTTAGTAGTGGTAATAAAAATACTTATTAAGTGATAATTGAATTCTTTTACAAAATTCTTTTGGATATGAATATCCAAAAATCTTAAATGTCCTTTCATATTTAATCCGTCAGCATATTAGAACATAGTAAAGTATTACCAAACAGGGTTTATTACAGAATGAGCTTCATTCAACCAAAAGATAACAGGAGAATCTTTGGCAAAATATCTAATAGTAAGCAAAGTTGGAGACATGGATTAGATAATAATATGAAATCATCATGTGTTCTAAAAATGAAAGAATGGTATTAAAAAATCAAAGGAAAAGGGGAAAGTAGGGGAAAATAGGATATCGTAATGCACTTTAGGGAATAAGTGGAAGTAACAGATTTTATTTAAAATTTTCAAAACGTTAACTGGAAAAAAAGGAGTAAAAGCATAATAAAATTTTTAAATATTGAGGTTAAAAACTATAATAAAAGTGCAAATCTTTCTAGATAGTAAAAGAAAAACCTACCAAAGAAAACATGCTACATAGAAAAACACAGTAAATATAACAAAATCTACACAATAATAAATAACATAAAGAATAGATTAAATAAGATACATTTTTGGGATATGGATCAAACACTACACCCTCATAATATGCCATTTTCTCAAGCATACATGGAACATTGACAAAAGTCAATCATATATTGATTGGCCTCAAAGAAAACACTATTAAGTTCCATTTAAGTACTTTATTACAAATAGTGTTCCCTCATCAAAATACAATAAAACTAGAAATTTAGAAGAACAGTAAGAGAAGGCTTTTCACCTGAAATTAAGAAATCATCATGTTAAACAACTGTAGAAAAGAGAAAAAGAAACAAAAATTATCTTTAAAATTAGTGGTAATAAAAATACTATATATCAGAATCTGTAAAGGATACTTAAAGGCGTAATTAGTAGTCTTGGCCCTCCCCTTCCCTTCCCTTCCCTTCCCTTCCCTTCCCTTCCCTTCCCTTCCCTTCCCTTCCCTTCCCTTCCCTTCCCCTTCCCTTCCCCTTCCCTTCCCCTTCCCTTCCCTTCCCCTTCCCTTCCCTTCCCTTCCCCTTCCCTTCCCCTTCCCCTTCCCTTTCCCTTCCTTCTTTTCTTCTTTCCTTCCTTCTTCTCCATCTCCCTCCTATTTTTCCTCCTTCCCTTTTTTTTCCACCCTTTCTTCCTTCCTTTAGCATTTCTTCAATCCTTACTTTCTCCCAAGCAAACCTGGAATCTTTACATTGTAATATTATTTAAAAGCCAAATAAAATCAAATAATATTTAAGAAAACTATCAAGAAATTTCAAATATTTACAAAAATTTATTCTCTTGAACAGCAAGAGAAGGAAACAGTTTAGTAAGTTAGATAGGCAGAAGTAGACCTAGTACTTGTGAAATGTGTGCCAAAACTCTTCAGTAACTATTTTCCTTCTGCTTTCTGTAGAAAATATTTAAAGTTGAAATGAAAGCATTTCCTGAAGTGATACGTGAATTACTACAAGCAATATGTACAAAACATGAAAAACAGAGGTGATATTTAGTTTGGAATTGTCATATTCAAAATCAGAAATAAAATTTTCATTCTGATAGAGCAGTGAGTTTGATTTTATTCTCAGATTAAATTACAGAATGGATTATTAATCAGATGTGTTTTAGATGATTAAAATAGCAGTTCATGTTTTTGATAGCATTAGCTATTCAGGATCAAATGAATATCTGATTAAATATGTATTTTGAGTTCAATAATGCCTTTTACAAAGCACTTTAAACCCTATAGACAAACGTGGCTTGATGGCAGTGTAGTAAGGAATATTTATAGGTGATTGAAAAGCTATATCTAAAGTTTTAACTAGTGAGCTATCATCAAAGTGCATAGAACTTTAGAGGCATATTGCCATACTTTGAACTTGCCAATGTATGTTTCATCAATACTTTACTAGTAATGTGAATGAAGAATTAAAGGCTTGCTCCTCAACTTCTGAATGGCTCAAACATGGTAAAATAAAGTTGACATAATGAATGAGAAGTATAGATTACAGTAGATGTGAAAAATACAAAAGAACCAAAGAATGAAATTAAAGAGACAAATATAAAATCTAACATTTGCTTCAATTGCATAAGACTTTGTGGGCTACTAGTTTGATAGTGTTTATTTTAAAAATATTTTTAAAATTTTATTTGACCTTAAATTTAGCATAAGGCAGTATTAAAAATCACCTAATAAAAATGATACAGCCTCCAATTTTATTTAAAAAGTGTATAATTTATATCAATTGAGGAAACTGATTATTTAGACTGTGTTCACAGGAGAATGACAAGTATTTTGAGGGACAGAAAATCATATCTTTGGAAAAAGTTTGAAAGCTTGTCATAGGGCAGATCTATTTAGATTGATAACATAATGTATGGATGACAAAACTAAAACATCTAATAAAGAGTACAGGGAAGCAGGTATTGATTCATTATAAAATCAAAGTTTTATAATAATTAGAATATTTCAAATGCAAAATTTTCATCTTAGAAAAAGCAACTGGACTTGGTGTAATGTTAAAATAATGCATGTAAAACACATGATACTTGGTATATAGTAAGCACTAACTAAATGCATACTATTAATCTTACCAATATAATGTTCTTAGCATTATATTCAAGAATAAATTAGATCTTTAGTTGTTACATATAATCATTTATTTTAGATTAAATTTAGAGTAAATGTATTTCAATTTGTCTAAGCTTCTAAGATTCAGTGATTATATTGCTTATTAGTCATGCTCCATTGTATCATCCATCCATATCCTTTTCATGACTTGAGAGAATGCAAATCTTGTATCTTCTCTCAAGGAAAATATTATGACTATATAATTAAAATAATTTTAAAAATGTATTTATATTCCAGTTTTAGTGCTAGTCCTAATCAAAATTTAAATAATCATTTTACAATAAATATTTGACATATAATATTTTGTAATATATTGAATTTTCTATAGTAGATGCCTAATTATCTTAGCTATTTGCAAATAATGTAAGTGTAAATATACTGATAAATCAAGAACCTTACTTTAATTATTGACATAATTATTCAGGATATTAATCTTTTATCATTGCTATAAAACAGTCAATTTTCATATTGCCATTTTCTTTTTATTATTTAAATACCTCTCTCTGTTGGGAATGCAGACAAAAAGATGGAAGAGATTTATAATAATTAGGTAATATAAGTTTAGTAGGGGCTCCATCTTTATTTATTCATATATTCATAGCAAGTATTTATTGACCATGAATTCTATGCCAGAAAATGTGATATGTAATTTTTTTAAAAGTCACAATCCTTGCTTTCATGGAGCTTATGGCCTAGTGGAGGAGTCAAACATTATTGAAAAGATCATATAAACATATGTAAGATTGCAGCTGTCATAGTGGCTAGGAAAGTGAGGAATGTAAACTTCTGATAGTGTAAACAAATTATTGTTCCAATCAAAGAGATAGTGGATAGCTTCCCTGTGAAAATGAAAATCAAGCTGACATATAGATATAAATGAGTGTTTACTTGAAGTTTCAGGAGGGTCAATCCAGACTGTGGGAACAGCATGTACAAAGACCATGCATCAGGAAGAACTGCTGGAAGGGAAAATGGTACAGTATGAATATGTTGAAGCAGGTTGGGGATAGCCTACGTAAAGGTGTGTAGACCATGTTTTTAATCTTTCTCCTAAGAGCCATGCAAATTCATTGAAAATTTTTAAAGTGTGGCAGGAGACAGGATCAGATTTGCTCTATAGAAAGACTACTTTGGCTACAATAGGGAGACTGAAGAGGAAGAAAGGTAGATTTCAGGTAGTCTTACAAGGAGCTGGAGCCTAGGAAAACAATGAAAGCTGGAAATAGTAAAGAAATGAATGGATATTAGGATGCTCAGGAGGTAAAATCAATAATGATAGATTTGATAGGGGGCATAGGCTGGAGAAGATAATGAAGCTAACAAGTTTTATGACTTATATAAAAAGACACCATTAAAGCAAGAGATGTTGGAAGAGGACTGGTTGAATATCATAAGTATGATGTTGGCCATGTTAAATGTTAAATTTGAGGTATTTTTAAGTCATTTAGTAGAAATGTCAATTATGTAGTTGAATAAATCAGTCTAGATCCCAGAGCTCAGATACACATCTAGAAATAATACATTTGTAAATTGTGTGTAGATGGGGACAATAGCAGTAATGAACACAGATGGAATTGCCTAGGCAGAAGAGCTCAAATGAGAAAAGGATGTAGGCCCAAGTCCAGAGAACTGCTAACATGAGCTTGAAAAAGGAACTGAGAAAGAGGTGTATGTTATGTCATGAAATTCAAGGGAAAGTTGTGTTTGTGATGGAGGGAGAAATCATCAATGCTAAATGTCAAGAGACCTGATTAGATGAGCTTTGAAGTATATCCACTACGTTCAACAATACAATAATTAAGAAGTACTTTTTCCATGAGGAATAGGGTATCCAACAATATGGGGAAAAAGAGTTTTCTCAGAGTGACTGGGATATATAAAAATGGAGAGAAAATGTGGTAATGTGGAGTAACCAGAGAGTAGAGGGAAGGGCTCAATCTCTTTGATTTCATTTTAACAAGAAACAAAGAATCTTTTAATGGGAAATCTAGTTAATAGGATGATGTTGAATGCATGAGACAGGAACTTAAGTATCTGAAATAGAGAGAGATTGATACATTTAATGATGGAAGGTTAGCCTTAGGAAAGGGGACAGCTCCTGTATTGTGGAAGCAGATAAATAGAGTAGACTGGGTATGGGCTATAGGTTGGAACACAGAAATAAGTATGATTTTTAATCTCCCATCTTCTATGTTCTCTATATAATAACAGTAGGATTAAAGATGTGACAAGTCGTTGTAAAAAGTGGACAAGTGAGTTGACCAAATAAATAAAAACCTAAGAAGGGTAAGAATAAATAATTGTCTTTGATTATTTCTGGTTATGTTGTTTATTGATATTTAGGAAGTTTTAGAACTGTCTTTCTGAATTAGTGGTCCTTGGCCTTTTTTTTTTTATTATACTTTAAGTTTTAGGGTACATGTGCACAATGTGCAGGTTAGTTACATATGTATACATGTGCCATGTTGGTGTGCTGCACCCAGTAACTCGTCATTTAACATTAGATATATCTCCAAATGCTATCCCTCCCCCTCCCCCCACCCCACAACAGGCCCCGGTGTGTGATGTTCGCCTTCCTGTGTCCATGTGTTCTCATTGTTCAATTCCCACCTATGAGTGAGAACATGCGGTGTTTGGTTTTCTGTCCTTGCTTGGCCTTTTTTTAAATTTTGCTTCAGTGCAGCACCTCTAATATAAGTAAGGACTACCACATACTCATTATCCATTACAGTGTTCTGCTGTATCATTGATTCTGAAGGATGGAGTGAAGCACCTCTTTAGGAAGACTATACAAAACTCAGAGATGGGAAAGAGAGAGAGAGAGAGAGAGAGAGAGAGAGAGAGAGAGAGAGAGTGTGTGTATTTGTTAGAAAAAGTTCATTATATGATTCTGATATGCCTCCCACAGGGAGGCTAGAAATTTCTCCTTGAAAATAGAATAGCCAAATGTTGAAAATAGACCAGAATTTAGGAATTTGTTTATAGATATATGACAAGTAATTGTTAAATTTAATAAATAGTGTAGCACATACAAATAATCAGCTCCCTTTTCCTAAATAAAAAACTTTAGCTATTTTTATTCTATTTTAAAAATTCACTTCGTGATATTTAAAGGTATCCATTATTAAAATCAGTAACCATTCCAATTTATAATCATTTAAAAGTAAAACATATAATTATTTATTAGAAAAATATTTGTGAACATTTTATAAATATTATCAACATGTTGTCAGTAAATTCCTCCTCAGGTGGAATTTTCTGACTTTGGTTGAGTCATTAAATGTTTTGGGTCACTAGTGATCAATTAGTAAATTACTGATCCATAGTACTTTAATGGCCTGAAAAAGTAAATGCATCTTCTGAGCACCTAATTGAATCTTAGTTATTTATTCATCATTAAAATCAAGATAAATGAGTCAGCTCACAATAATGAAACTGAACAGTTACATTCATTTCACAAATAGATTAAACTAAAGCTCAGAAAAGACGGGACAAGGGAGTTAAACATCCAGGTTAGATTTTCCATCTGAAAAGACCCAATTCCCAATATCTTGCTATAAAAATTAAATACATATATGAGTTTGAAAGCAATATTTTTCTGCAAGTTCATTTTCATATAGCGTTATTAAGTTTAATACCATTCAGTTAATAATTGTAGATCCATGGTACGTATACTAATATGGTCTTGTTATAATGTAAATAGTACAGTTTAAACAGCAAAATTTCACACTGTTTTAATATAAAAAATTTCCTAGAACCAATTACCCTGAGTGCCTACTATATGGTTCATTTGGAAAATGAATGATAGCTGCAATATGGTAAAATGATTATGAGCACAGCCTTCGGAATAAGTAAAACATAGCTTTAATATCTAACTTCTGTACTTACTAACTGAGATCTGAACAAGTTACTTAAACTTCTAAGGTTTAGTTTCTCCACTTACGAAATGGAGAGGAAAACACATAATTCATAGTTCATTGTAAGGACTAAGTAAAAAAAAATACTTAAATACTTAGCACAGGGCCTAGCAACAAAGATATATGAACTCGGTACACACAGACATACAAACACGTACCCACACTGCTTAACTTTAGCTAGAATATTTTTAAAAGCATTATTAGTTTGAGACTAGATTCATCCAAGTTGGTTTAGCATTCTACTAGGGATGTTACTTTTCATATCTTTCTTTGTTTTTGTTCCCAAAAGCTATAAACACAAGTTTTATCTTCTTTCCTGAAACAATTAAAAAGAAAATACAAGAAAATGTTCAAAAAATAATTTACTAGTGTTTTTGTTTGTCTGGAAGGGTCATCCTGCAGCTTTAATCACAGCTGAAGATCATTATTTCAAAAAAGACACATCTTTTAGATATTTAAATATGTATTATCATATTATGCAGTTTAAATGTGAAGTCATCTACCCTCTGGTTTACTGAGATTCTGTTACATTTTAAATAAATAGTAAATGCTGTAGTTAAGAGTGCTATCACTGAGAATCTAAGAAGACACATTAGAAAGGGATTATTACTCCAAGAAGAATTCTCTTTCCTTAATCATTACTTTTTCATTAAAATATTTCTGAAGTTTATACAATACAATCATAGTAGTGACCTTAGGCATATGACACCTTAGTGCTATAAAAACTCTAACAAATCTGTTTAGAGCCCAATAATATAAATTTCTGTGAAGAGAAATATAAACCAATGGTAAAATGCCATGTTGAAGTTTCTAAATAGCCCACCTAGTAATTTACATGTTAAGAACATATTGAATATCTTGGGAACATGTTCCTAGAAAAGATTCTCCATTATAAGCTTTTCCTTTACTGTTAATGATTGCTTTGATAAAATGACCCACGAAAAAAGACAATTTTCTCCCTGTGTTATCTGTGTCTGAAATATTCTTCACTGATTTTACATATGCTGATAATATGAACAAGGTAATTTGTCTGACTCTGGTGGGGCAAGATTTTCAGTAAGAAATGCAAAATTCACACATAGCTCTTCTGTAAGAAGTCTATGCAGTGTTTCAGTTTATATAAAAAGATTTATATTGCCTGAGGCATCTATTTTTTTTTCCTCGAGGCAAGCTGAAGTGGCACAAATGAAATTGTTTTTCACACTGTTAATGTATTCCTTTCTCTTTCAATTTCTCAGAGAGCCGACATAGGGATTTCTGCTTTAACCATCACTCCAGATCGTGAAAATGTGGTGGACTTTACGACACGTTACATGGACTACTCAGTGGGGGTACTACTTCGAAGGGCTGAAAAGACAGTGGATATGTTTGCCTGTCTTGCACCATTTGATCTCTCTCTATGGGCTTGCATTGCTGGCACAGTCCTTCTGGTGGGTCTACTGGTCTACCTCTTGAACTGGCTTAATCCCCCACGATTACAAATGGGATCAATGACGTCTACTACTCTCTACAACTCCATGTGGTTTGTGTATGGATCTTTTGTACAACAAGGTAAGGAGCAAAAGTACATTCTAGTATTTAAAAAAAATAGAATGTGATGTTTCCAAAGCCATGTATTCAGTTAATAAGGTTCTGTATCTGACATCAATAAGTGTTCTAAAGGGTACTCACAGAAATGCTCAGAAAAGAACATTTGCTACTTCCTCCTAGTGGATCTCAGACACACCAAGTTTCCAGCAATAATGGTTCATTGTCTTTTGATGTAAGTTTAATTTCATCAACAAAGGCAAATGTGAATGTCAAAGGTAAAGCTCACAGAAAACATCAAGATCAGATTTTCCTCTCCAAACTCTGACTTTCTGAGAAATAGCCTTATAAGGATGAAATTACTTATTACCAGAGAAGGTACTATTTAATTATTTACATATGTAAGAAATGTTAGGACTTGTTCTTTGTTCAGAGACATTATTTCATGCATTAAAAATATTGTCATTGAAAAGACTTTGGTTAATTTGAGACTGATGAGAAATTTTGTGTTTTATCTTTTACTTTGATATGTAATCTTTACTGGTGATTTAACTTACAATTTCACTATTTTCTAAAGAATGTCATTGCTCTGTTATTTAATATCCAATCTGCCCAACTCTTTAAACTTGTCCAATTAATTATTTGGCTCTCACTGTTTCAAAATAGAATAATATTTATTGCATTCCTTACTTGAGACTATTGCCTCATAGAGAATGAAATAGTAAGAAAATTGATAGTCTCTTGCAAGCTCTACACATATATTGAAGAGGAGGATGTTTGCTACAATGGAGACATTATACTTTTGTGCTAATATTTACAACTCTCAATAACATCTTTCTTTTTATTCCTATTTTCTCTTGGACCTTCCATTTAACTTCATTTTTCTATTCTAATTTAATCAAAGATTAGTCTAGAACCTTCATCTGACTTGCTAACTTCTAATCTAGCCCTTAAACCTTTTGTAAGCATGCTTTTCCCTCCACCCTTCCATATCCAGGGCTCTAAGCTTACCTGTTACTGTATATTTTTCACAGACACTTTTAGTTCTTTCATTAATAATTAATTCAGTAAATATTTAATCCACACTATCTAAGTAGAACTTTCCTAAGCAATTAGTGTATGATGGTGAGCAAGAAGGTCTTTGCCATCATTGCGCCACAACAGAAGTCTAATGAGACACAAACATGTAAACACAGGATTACAATTGTGGGTAGAAAGTTCTGTGGTAGGATAAGCATAGACTGTTAGGAGATCATAGGTGTAGAAGCACTTAATATATGTTAATGTCGCAGAGAAGGCTTTTTAAAGTAACACTTTATACAGAGAGACAGAGTTAACTATGGAAAGTGCTTCTTGAGGAAGATGAATGGAGAAAAGGAGACATAAACGGTTAGGATGGAATTTCAGACCAAGAAGTGAGAGAGAAATTAAGATAGTCCAAGCAGAGAGGATCTAGTAAAGATGAGGCTGAAGCTACATTTGTTATTATAAGGAGTTTGAACTGATCCTTGAAATGATCAGATATTTAAAGATAATAAATGGGAAAATACAGATTCAAATTTTACTCTAGAAATATTCTGGTTATAATGTGGAGAATAGATTGAAAAAAGGCAATGTGAAAAGTCAGACAAATTAGAAGACTATTACAATAACTGAGCAAAGAGTTGATGTGGCTTGCTCAAAGGTAAGGTAGCTTTGGGAGTCAAGAGGAGAGTATTGATGAAATGGAATCAACAGGCTTTGATTACCTATAGCGTGGTGTGGGGGTCAGTACTGAAGAAAAAAGGAGATAAAGTTTTATCCTAGGTTTTTGAATAGAAAATTATGTATATTGGATGTGGATCTCATTTACTGAAAAAATAAAACAGAAAAAACAGATATGACAGGAGAGATGATACATTCATTCTGCTGCACATTGAGTTTGAGCTATCCGTGAAACATCCAAAAGAGTATTACTAATGTGTGCTTAGTGGTTTGATATATTTGTCAGATGCACAGAAGAGACATCTGGACTTAATATATATTTAGGAGATATTGGAATGTAGGAAATTTTGAAGACATGGGAGTTAATGAGATCACACAGAGTAGTTGCTCTTAATTGCAAACTCCTGATTGAGGACCACTGGCCCATACAAAGCCTAGGACAGAGCTCTAAGGAAAGGAATGGATAGAGGAGCACTCAGTGGTGCCTGATAAGGAGTGACTATAAATGCACAAGTGAAAATCAGAGCAGCTAGTAGTATACGTTTGGTTGACTGTGTTAAACCTTTCAAAGAATCAAATGAAATTAAGGCTTGAAAGGTTTTTGTTGGATTTAACAATAAATTTATTATTGAAGCAAAAAAGGCTTGTCTTTGCCCTATGATGTCTGAGGTTTCAGCTAGACAATTCAGAGGCCAGAGGCTAAAATCATCCAAAGGCTTGTTCATTTCACTCACATGTCTGGTGGTTGATGCGGTCTGTGGGCTAGTGGCCTCAGCTTTTTCTCCATTTGGGCCTCTCCATGAGGTCACTTTGCATGGGATAGTTTGACTTTCTCACAGCATGGTAGTTGCTTTCTCCACAGAGAACATCCCAATTAAAGAATTTTATGTTCCAGGTTGGGAGTCATAAACTTGTGTGATGGTGTGAATTCCTCTTGCAGAGAACATCCTGGATGTACCCACCTCATGGGTTTTTATGAGAATTTATTAATGAATGGTTAAAATTGTGAAGTTCTTAGATATAACTTATATAAGTGTCACATAAGTGTTTACTAAATAAATAAAACAATGAATTAGACTCAGCGGCAGATAATTGACATATGTAAAAAAAGGGATAACAAGACAAATGATTGTAGATCATTTTGATGTAGATATTGATTGAAATAGTAGATCATGGGGTATATGGAGAACTAGAAAGAGAAGGACCAAGAATGCGAATGTAAAGAAGAGTAAGGGTAGAAATTGATAGAGTAGGCCTGGCATGGTGGCACATGCCAGCACTTTGGGAGGCCGAGGCAGGCGGATCACCTGAGGTCAGGAGTTCGAGACCAGCCCGGCCAACATGGTGAAACACCATCTCTGCTAAAAATACAAAAAAATGCCAGGCATGGTGGTGGGCGCCTGTAATCCCAGCTACTCAGGAGGCTGAGGCTGGAGAATTGCTTGAACCCAGGAGCGGGAGGTTGCAGTGAGCCGAGATTGTGCCATTGCACTCCAGCCGGGATGACAAGAGTGAAACTCCATCTCAAAAAAAAAAAAAAAAAAAAAAAAAAAGATAGAGTAGTTAGGAGAGAGTAGTAGAGGTCTCAATAAGATTACAGAAAAAGAGTGAAAACATAATTATAAATGAGTTTGGAGTCTGTATTTATAAAATAGGACATCTAAGCCTAATTTTTTTTGAAATGTAATAGAGGAGAACATGTTGTAGGTATGTGGATACAAATTCCAGATGTTAAGATTTGGTGAAGGACTTCAAAGCTGATCAAGGAACTGAGAGATAAAGGGTTAGGTGAGCCAGCTGTAATGATGGCTTGGATTAGACTGGAGAAAAAGAAATTGAGCCATGTGTCAAAGTTGTGAATAAATAAGGAAGGATGACAAGGATGTTGATAGATATGAGCATTGACCAGAAATAGGAGGTGACATACCTAGATATAATTAACCTCTGTTTTCATCTTACTTCTTCCAATTTATTCAGTTTTTCAGTGTATGATTTCAACAACTGCCAATATGCTGATGACTCCCAGATCTACATCATCTATTCTTGAACTTCAGATTTGTATATTCAACTGTTACCTAGGCAACTCTCTGACTATACCAGAGGCACCATAAATTTGAACATGCCAAAAATGTAATTCATTTTAGAATTTGAACCTTCTTAGCCTCTCACATTCTCTATTCCAGCTGATCCACCACCAACCATTCAGACTCATGTTAGAAACTCTGAAAATAGTTTTCATTTCTTCCTCTTTCTCATCTTGTATATCCAACCATAATCAAGTCCTGTCAATTTTACCTACTAAATATTTCTAGAAGTGGAAATCTCTTCTTATCTAGAAAGATTAGCCTAGATTGTCACCTAGATTGAGGCTACCTCATTTTTCACCTGAACTATAGGAGTCTCATAAGTCTTTCTTCTTCCAGTGTTGTCTCCTGCAAATATACGATTCACATACTTGCATATATACCCAAGTTATCCATGCCATGGAAAGATAAACACATAATTCCCATTCTTCAGTTATTTTCTTGGCTTCCCAATGCCCACAGTTTAGAAGTCTGAGTTCTTCAGAGCATAAACAATATTCCATCACCTGGCTCCTGTCCAACACTCAGTTCTCATCTCTTACCATTCGTGCCTCACATTTAATTGCCCAGTTACTCCAAACTTACGGTTTGACCATAAGACAAGACTCTTTCCTAACTCTTCACCTTTGTATCTGCTCTTTCCAATTCCTTGAGTGCCTTTGTTACCAACCTGATTAGACTCTACTCCCACTCTCTGTCTTTATACAGCAAGTTCCTATTCATCCTCTAATTTTTTGCTTTTATTTCTCTACTTTCAAGAAGTCTTTCCTGGGATTGAGAACCATCTTCTATACTCCTCAACATGTATTTGTCATAGTACTTACCAACCATAGTGTAATTCCTTTTTTTAAACATGTCTCCACCTGAGTCCTTTGAATATAAGATAGTGTACTATTTAATCTGTGTAGTCTCTTTGCTTATAGTTAAGTGCCTTGTACATGTTAGGCATTTAATAAATTCATATTGATAAATTTAATGAATGGATGCTAAATACTTAACTAAATAAAGCATGGAGGTTAGCTGCAATATTTTGTTTATTAGATTATAGTCTCAAATAAAACACTAAAATTATCCACAAATGACTTAAAACTCACTAAACCAAAAAGAAATTTATCTGTAATGTCCCCACTGAGTTGTTGTAAGAAACTAAGAGGAGTTTATAAGTAAGGCATCCTCTTGGTTGAAGCCTCATTTGTGAAGACGTTGACATACTTATGAATTGGCTTTCTGAATTCTTCCTCCAAGTGACCAAATTTCAATAAGTTTTGGAGCACACCCAGGAAAAAAGATAAATAGAATTACCCATATGGTTAGCATGCTTTTCTAGTTCTATAAACATGCAACAGATAACAAAAGTTATAAATATGTTAAATACCTTTCTATCCCACTGCTCCCTTAAATGAGTTGCACAGCCTGCAGGTTGATTGTACATTTATACAAATTTATAATGACAGATAATGCTGAATCGCATATGATTAGCTACTTCATCTTTGAAAAGCTGCTATTCTTCCACTTGCTAACAATGAAAAGGTGAATTCATTAAAAGACACTGAGAGCATCTTTATGCTCTGATTAAAAATAAATGAAGAAAAGGCTTATAAACCCTATGAAAAAGAGAATAAATCAATGACAGTGTCCATGTATAGGCAATTGACTTGGAACTGGTGATATTTCCAATAAAAATACAGTCTTTTAAGAGGAAGTACAGCTGTTATTTCAGAATTGCAGTCTTCATTGAGCCACTATACCAGATTGAATAGGGATAAAGAGGCATTTCATGTGTTATCAGACAGATTTCTAAAAAAAGAGTTCACGGACAGCCAAAAGCAGAAAAATGTTAAATATATGTGAGTTGTTTACTAATCCTGACATTTTAAAAAATCTGTAACTTCAAAGCATTCTGGAAAAATAGCTCAGGGAATCCAACTGTGCAAAAGCAGTATGGTCCATTATAGAGATAAACTCAGTACATCTGTTTGGCTGGAACATTAAGAGCTTGTGAATTAGGTTGTAAAATGCACGAATGAGAGACCAATTTTATACAACTTTTGTTGTCATTTTATGTCCTCCGTTATCTCCATGTCTACATACATCTCCTTTCAATTAATATTCTTAAGTGAAACTGGATTTGATTTTTAGAAGTCTCTTATGTTTAGTTTATTGGCAGTGACTCTATCATCTGGTCTCCAGAGGACTTCAATGACTTTGCAAATGTAGTTGTATGTAATTTGCTTTCTGTTTACATGCAAAGGGAAATTTCAGAATTATCTTCAGATGTTTGTGTCTGATTATGGGAAATAGAAATATTTATAGTCATGTAAAATATTTGAAGCAACCACATATATGTTTATTTAGCAGCAAGCATTTATTAAGCACCAACAATGTGCCAGGAACATGAGTAGCAAAAGGAAAATAAGGAATAACTCTTAACTAGGGTTTAATAAATATTTCACGAGTATACTATGTGCCATGCCTGGCCTATGTGCTTTGAGTATGATGCTAAATAAGAAAAACAGTTCTTGCAGGAGTGTTCAACATCACGCCGATGGATCTTAACCAAATTGAGATCAAAATAAACCATTTCTGATGAGAGGAGCAGCCAGAATTATTGAAAAGAATAAAGAAGGAAAATTCCTTTGGTAGTTTTCTTAAAGATCAAATAGCTCCACAGATGCTAATGATGAATAGAAAGTGTGCCTTTAGGAGTGTTAGAAATACTGAAAATAATTTGATGCTGTTGCACAAGAGTTAACATAAGAGACAACCCACTGATTTTGAAATCCCAAGACAATTTTTGGAAGAAAATAAAGAGTTCTTCCTACTGTCAGATGGATCACACTATTATACAGAATCCAACTTTCTCATATCCACAAAAAGAAGAGTCAGACATTCTTTTCTATTGAATTAGGCAACAGAAGAGATTGTTGATGGGAGACCATCTCTTTAAAACTTTGCACAGAAGGATAACTCAAAAAGACATCAATTTTAATAGTGTAGATATCAAATATATGAAACTTACCAATGTCCTATTTACAAACTCTCAAAGGATTCAAGCCTTGGAATGCAGTAGCTAAAGCCATTTCTTTATATTGTTACCTAATATTTCACATTCAATTTGAATATAATAAAAATGACATTGACTAGCTCTGTTGTTTACTGACCCTAGTGAACAGAGGAAAAATGAGAGTAATTCCCCATGACAGGTTAACTCGACTACAAAGACAGGTTTTTTTCTACATTGTGTTCTTACAGGTATTAAATTAAAACAGCTCTCCATAATTTTTATTTAGGCTCAAACAACATCTCTGTTGTTGTTAATTATGATTGGCAGTCCTTAACAAAGGGACCAAAATGCATTCTGAGTGCTGTCACATCCACTTGAGAATTGCCCCATGCTGATTTAAAACATGACGAGGTGCCCATTTTCTTTCTTTTTATCGCACAATTCTTCACAACTAATAAAAAAAAAGTTGAACTTTCATGCTGAAAGTGAATGTTCAAATTCTACCAATAGTGAGGAGTAATTTGTGTACTAGAAAACAGTGCCATGATTTTAAGCTGTGAATGCATTGGTTTACATTCCTAATGAACTGTGATGAACTCCTAAGCAATTATGCTATGAACTATATGCATACTATATGGCCCTGAAAATTATTTAGCTTGATACCGACTCCTCATGACGTGAGTCAGAAAATTCTTTCTCATGCTCAACTGGGCTTTTGAAGAGTTAAAAGAAATCAAAGAACATGAGGCAGAAATCATATTTCTACTTATAAAACAAGAACTAGTACAATCAACATCTTCTTTGACTCCTTTGAACTACCTGTGAATATGTTCCATAATTAAAATTACTATTTTAGTATTTAACAAAAGAAAGAAGCTGTTTCCTAAGAGACACTAAAAAATTGAAGGGTGATTTTGAGAAAATATTTTTAAATCTAAATTTAAATGATAGAACAAGCAGGTGCTGGCTGGGCGCGGTGGCTCACGCCTGTAATCCCAGCATTTTGGGAGGCCAAGGTGGGTGGATCAGGAGGTCAGGAGATCGAGACCATCCTGGCTAACATGGTGAAACCCTGTCTCTACTAAAAATACAAAAAATTAGCCAGGCGTGGTGGCGGGCACCTGTAGTCCCAGCTACTCGGGAGGCTGAGGCAGGAGAATGGCGTGAACCTGGGAGGTGGAGCTTGCAGTGAGCCGAGATTGTGCCACTGCACTCCAGCCTGGGCGACACAGCAAGACTCCATCTCAAAAACAAAAACAAAAACAAGCAGGTGCTATAGATTCTTTAAAATAGTATTGTCTGAAATCTGAGTAGAACTCAGTGTTTTTACAGTACCATATTACAATTTTTTCAGCTTAAGTAGTAAAAATGGGAACAAACATCCTCAACATAAACTTATCCTAAAGCTGATTTAGGATTGGTCTAAGTTAAAGTATTGGGCTCAAGGGAAAGCAGGTGGTGGTAGAGAACATCATTTAAATTATTTAGAATATAAATTTGAAAATTCAATTTCTGTTTGACATGCCCAAACCTGAATCCATTTCCCCCTTTGTCTATGAATATGTAATTAGAGGTTTAATAATGATGGCTATATTTTTTAAAGCATGGGAAACTGACCAGAGCCTTCAAAAACAAAGTCAACATGTTTTGAAAATTAAGACTGTTAGCATTTAGCCTAGCTCTAGAATGCATCCTTAAAACCCAATTATCATGGACATAATACTGTATTTAAAATCCCCATCTTCAACTTTAAAAAAATTGTTGGTCATAAAGTCCTTGTGACATTTTGTTAAATACCCTTGAAAGTGGTACAAGCTTTACTTGATTGTTTTTCACATTTATAAGGCAGAAAAATTCAATGTTTAATAGAGAAGTATAAATACACATTATGTATCTCATTATATATATCAATGTCACTAGTGAACTACATTTTTATGGCAATTTTTTTCTTTTTTGTGTCAAAATTTAACAAAAGATAAATGCATGACCCACCAATGCACTGTAGACACATAAAATTGTTCTTTGATTTTGACTGTGCCCAAAATTTATAGAGTCTCTTTATATTTACAGCTCTTTATCTTAGACTCCAAATTAACAATCCATTTGGGATTGCTGCACAGTGTATTCTATCTGCTTCAGTTGTTTTCTAGCAGTTAGTGTTTATATCCGTTGTTTAAGCTCTACTTTAGCATGTCCTAAAAGTATATCTTCTGCCTTTACTATTTTAAATTCTTCATTCTCTAGTAAACACCAACTTGGATATTAAACAAGAATTATTTAACTAGTCACAGAGGTGAATAAGACAGCATGATGGCTGTTTTCATGGAGCTTAGAATACACAAGTGACACAAACTAGGAAGCATGCAGCTCCATCATAGAATCACAATTGTCATGCTGAGGAAACACAAGACACCACGAACATGGAATTCACAGATATCCTGCTATTTAGCGTACTGCAACTGGGTCAAATACATACTAAGTTGTGATACTGAAAGAGAGGAACACAGACCATGAGCCAATTTTTTACCTAGTCACAAAGGAAGAAAGAAATTGTTCAAATAACTCACTTGATCTTTGCTTCAATAGAGTGTCAGATTATTTAAAATTTTCTTTTATCTATAAAAATGTAAGATTCAGTAACATAAATATCTAACTAAACTACTCTTTTCATGTCTTTGTGTTTCCTTAAGAGACAGCTCAGTTTACAATCCTGTTTTTTACCACTTACTAGCTATGTGACATTTGACAAGTTTTTTAACCTCTAGGTGACTCAGTTCACCAGATAATAATTACTGACTTCATCAGGTGTTTGAGAAAATTAAAAGAACTCATGGATATAAAACTATTAGAACTGTATTCATGACACAAAGTCGGCACAGAACATTATAGTTATTTTTTCCTCACTGTTTCCAAAGGCCACGGCAAGAGATAGAATCAGCCATATTGTTTAATCCTTCAATATTCATCATTAACTTCCAGAAAATAAGCATTAGTTTAAAAAAGCATAGTGTAATCAAGCATAAGGAAATATATTAGGAAAACTTGTTTAGCTAATGAAAATGTTTATAGTAAAAGCCATATGCTAATAAACTCACAATAACTTTATGTCATTCAAGTAAATATGAAAAACTACAAAAACATTTTTCCCTATTTAAGCATGTCATTACTACATGTTTTTATAATAGACTATAGCCAGGAATACAACAAATTAATGAACCCAAATTGAGTGGAATTATAAGTTGTGATTCAAGATGTTTGCAATTTATATAGTAAATTCTTTGGGGCTCATAAAGACTTAGGTTTTGGGGGGATTAATGTCCTATAAAAACAGTACACTTAGGGTTTTGTTTTGGGAATTATATCTCGAGATCTGCAACTAAAATAGCACAATATTAAGTATAAACATTACAGGAAGGCTAGTTTCTAAACTAAGCAATGTTCACAAACTGCCACTGATGGCAGTCTGAAACCATATGGGCTTTTTCCAGCTAAAATGATGATGATGATGCTGAAATTTCATTTTTTATTTTGATATTCTCATAGTATTGATGCAGGGCAGGCAAGCCCCGAAGTGGAGCTTAGCCTGCTGGGTTCTTGGCTTTGCTCAGGGAAGAATTCAAGGGCAAGACAGAGGTAGAAGAAAACAGCTTTATTGAAGAGGCAGTGTTGTTACAGCTCCATGACTGCCCCTGTAGAGCAGGGCTACCCTATGGGCAAAGAGTAGCAGCTCAGGGCAGTTTTGCAGTCATATTTATAACCCACTTTTAACTGCATGCAGATTAGGGGGCAGTTTATGCAGAAATTTCTAGGGAAGGGGTAGTAACTTTTGGATCATTGGGTCATTACCATGGAAAGGGGCAGTAACTCCCGAGTGTTGCCATGGCAGTGGTAAATTGACTTGACAGGCTGGTGGGCATGTCTGATGACAAGCTGCTTCTGCCCCGGCCCTGTTTTAGCCAGTGCCTAATCTGGTTCACTGTCTGAGCCCTGCCTCTGGAATTGAATCCCACCTCCTACCTCAGTATCAATACTAAAAACTAAAATGTTTTATAATTTTAAAACATGTTAATAACTATTTGATAGTTTAATATGT